>NC_000007.14:150518985-150670500 GCF_000001405.40 Homo sapiens | reverse complement strand
GATGTTAGTGTGATTTTCATATACATTACTCAATGGGAATATGATTGAGTCATTTGTCATATGTCTATTTATTAAAGAAAGAACTATATTTTTTATTGATATCTCTTACATATTTATTGCCCATGTTTCAATTCTGATGGGAATAATTTTGATATTGATTTGTAAAAGTTCTTTATGGGGCCAAAAATGATAATTTATCTTCTTTTTTTGAATTTTTTATAAAACAACTTCTAATTTCTTTCACTGTTAATTTATTGTGGCTAGTATCTAAGAGAATGTTAAATAAGTAATCACAATGATAGTAGGCTTCCTTAGCTTGTTCTTAACTTTTGTGGCAATATCTCAATGTTTACCATTAAACTAGATGCAGACTTTGAGGTTGAGATGGAAAATTTTCTTATGGGGAAAAAGAACCAATTATTAGACATTTAATTTTACCAAATTACTTTTCAACAGCTAAGGAGGTGATCAGATTATGTTGCTCCATAGCTTTGTAATACATTAAATTGTATAAAAATATTTCCTAGTATTTCCTAATATTGACTTCTTTGCATACTTAGACAAATCTTAATCACACAAGGTGTTGCTTGATTCTATTTGTTAATAGCTAATTCAGGATTTTTGCCTTGATATTCCTAAGTAATCTTATCCATTTCTAAGACAGAGCAATTCTGTCTTCAATTGTGCTAGTTCTAGCTGGACCTGGTTTGAGGGTCTCGTCTCTTTTTGTTAAAGTAAATTAAAATGGAGACCAGACCCGGAGAATACCTGAGCAGACAAAAGCAGTTAGGCCTTACAAATGACCTCAACCTTGCTTGATTTGCAAAGATAAGCAAGTCTTAATTTGAGCTATTTCTTGTAAATGTTTAATATTAAATAAAAGCAGAACTTAAGCTCAACTAATTAGAAGTAGCCAGCAAACAAAACTATGGACTTTACAACAGGGTAGACCAAATAAGGTAACTGTATAACTGTAACCAATCAAATATTTTATTTTCTTCTGTGCCATCCTATAAAACCTCCCTCTTCTATTTTTACCATCACCACCTTTTCCCTATCACTACCTCCTTTCTCAGGCAAACATGACAGTTAACAAAAACAGTAGGATAATGAATGTTATTAAGGAGAACACTAGGATGTTTTAAGAGTGTATAGAGGATCTGCTAAACTAATAGTAGGAGTAGTTGGAAAAGACTTCTTAGAAAAATCAACATTGTTTAAGCTGAAATTGAATAGTGAGTAGAAGTTAGGGAAAGAGATTAGAAGTATTTCCAGGAAGAAGATAAAGCATATTCCAAGGTAAGTGAAGACATGGAACTCTCAGTTAATCAAAGAAAGCCAAGGATGGCTAGATCCTCAAGGTGGGAAGTCACATTGTGTAGAAATGAGGCTGGAGATTTTAGCAGATGATTTTTTACAGAAACTCATAATTAAGTTTGGATCCTGAATGTTTTATTATGGAAAATGGAAAAACACTCCAGGCTTGAATCTAGGTATGTCACAGTCAGATATGTGTAATTGTGGGCTGTGTGAATTATGAATTCAAAACCTTCTCCCTCATCAGGCTTTACATAATCTGAATTTTGGTCGCTTTAATTGTGGTCCTCCTCCACTTGCTCTGCCTCCCACGAACTGCACCCTCTCAGTGCATGGAAACAGAACAAGTGAGTCAAAGAGAGCATAGAGGAACCCTGGCTGTAAACTTTGAGGTGAACCCACTGGGTCACCAGCCCATTCTGTTTCCTTTGCTCATAACCCTGTCAGCCCCTACCCCATTTCCTCTCCAAAAACTCTCCCATAATATCTTTTCATTTTCACTTGCTGTCCTTCCTGAGTTTCATCTCCCTGAGTGTTGAGAGGCATTTGGTTTCTAGGTGTTTTGTGAAGTGTGAAAAATAACTTCAGTGTGTGAAAGGAAACCACAAGACCCAGGGCTGCTATAGCAGCAAGCTCTGTTCTCAGAGAGGGTAGATAACTGTCTTATCCTGTGTGATCTGAAAGGGCTGAAAGTCCCCTCAGTAAAACATGCACCCCATTGGTCTGGAGCTGTCATTCCTCTCTCAGAGGTAAAGGTTTTCCATCAGGACAGTGGCTAGGTAAGGGGAAAATAACTCACAGGGAGATACTGAGAAGGAAGTCAAAGGAGCTGAATACAAATCAAATATTAATAGCTCAAGTGAAGAGTTAACAATTCAAGCCCTTGGCTGGGCACCGTGGCTCACACCTGTAATCCTAGCACTTTGGGATGCTGAGGTGGGTGGATCATGAGATCAGGAGTTTGAGACCAGCCTGGCCAACATGGTGAAACCCCGTCTCTACTGAAAATACAAAAAATTAGCTGGGCATGGTGGTGGGTGCCTGTAATCCCAGCTACTTGGGAGGCTGAGGCAAGAGAATTGCTTGAATCTGGGAGGCAGAGGTTGCAGTGAGCTGAGACCACGCCATTGCACTCCAGCCTGGGTGACAGAGCAAGACTCTGCCTCAAAACAAACAAACAAACAAACAAACAAATCAAGTCCTTAAATGCTGGGGGTCCACTGGAAGGTTTCTTTGACGTGGTCTGTTGCCTGTTATCTTGGCCACATCTTGTAAAAAGATGACCTCTATAGGTTTAACTTGCTACAGATCCCAGGCTTGAATATCATCCATTAAAATAGCAGAGACTGCTCTATTTGCCTTTCTCTAACTTTCCTTCTTCATCCTGCCCTGAAGTTCTCCCACATACATTTTTAACTACTCAGTCCATCAGTGATCACATATACCCAAAATACGTCCTCCATATTCTCACTGGGGTTCTGGAGTTAGACAGAACTGAGTTCCAGTTTCTACTGGGCCACTGACTAGCTAAGTGTCCTTACTCAAACTTGAGCCTAATTTCCTTCATCTTAAGGTGGGAACAATTTAAACTATCCAGTCTGAATTAAATGGAAAAGTGCACGTAAAGGATGAATTCCCAGTGGCTAGCACAGAGGTTTTCAAGCCTTAGCCTGCATCAGAATCACCTAAAGAGTTTATTAAAATACAAATGGCTAGGCAACATCCCTGGAATTTCTGAACTAGTAGGTTTTGAATGGAGCCTGAAAATAGCATTTCTGACAATTCCCATGATGCCACTGGTCTGGGGACCTCACTTTGAGAACCACTGCTCTTGGACATTGCTGTATCATTTGCACTGTTGAAGTTGGGCCACTGCCATGACTAGTGGAATTGGGGCCTGTGCCCAGCTACAAATAAAAGTTGGAGGTTTATTTCTGAGGCATCTCAACTTTCAGGGACATTTAGGCTGTTTCCTGATGGCCCACAGCACCTCTCCATTTTGTTTCTTCTAGGATGATCTTAGATGAGAGGGTCTTATGTTGACTTTTCTCACCTAAAATTTTACATTTCAGATGTGCTTTTAAAAACTCTCTTATGATCTCCATTTCAGCTGATTTAATCATAGGTGAGAGTCCTTTAACAGACAAAGCTTTAGCTCAGTGGTTCTCAAACTTTAGCAGGCATCAGACTCACTTGGGGGTTTTACTGAAACTTAGATTGCTGGACTCCGCCCCCAGAGTTTCTGATTCCATGAGTTAAGGATGGAGCCCATATTTCCTAACAAGTTTCCGGTTCATACTGATGCTGCTGATCCATGGCCCACATTTTGAGAACCACTGGTCTAATACACAGTAAGTCTGAAAAGGAGCTAATACTATAAACTAGCACCCCTGGGGACCATCAGAATGACTGGGCCATTTACATGAACTCCAAGTAAGGTTTAAAATCTCTGATGTATCTGTCATGTGGCAGAGGATGGAGTAAGGGGAAAAAGAAGAAGAAACCAACCTGGCTCCATCTGTACAAATGTCTTCCCATGTTGCTGAGGAAATGAAACCAGCACACATGGAGAAATGGAGTCCAAGAGGCATTGTCTGATTGACAGACAGCAGAGGATCAAAAAATCTCAAGTTGTGGAGGTTGTCATGTAGGAATTTTGCACTAAAGGAAGGGAGGATTTGGAAATGTGGAGAACTTTGGGGACAGACAAATAAACAGGTGGAAGGAAATAGTGTGAATGGCTTTAAGGTAAAAACAAGCATTGCCTGGGTAAGAAAAAGTAAATGGGTACCCCTTATAGAGCAGATACAGCTACCGCTTACTTAATTCTTTCTGGCTCAGCCCTGGGTTTTATATCTTCTTCTCATTTAATGCTTACAGCAACAGTAGGAAGTAGAAATTATCATGTCCATGTCTAAAGAAGTAAAAATAAGGCTCAGGAAGATGAGGAACTCAACCAGTGTTACTCAGAGAATGAAAGTAGAATCAGAGATGGAGTCTGTCTACCCCAAGCGCCTTGCTGCGAGTCTCATAAGGTAGCAGAATAGAAGCAAGGGGGCTGTGAAGAAAGTTTGCAGCCTGATATAAAAGCTGTCAATTTCAGGCCAAGAAGTGTGAACTGTAACCTAGGTGATCATGGCTTCTTGAGCAACACACATGGTAGGTCTGAGCTACATAATCTTGATCTGCTGGGTACAGACTCATTAGAGAAGTGAAGAGAGAAGTCCCTTCTAGCTACAGAAAGTCTCCCTGTTCTTCTCCTTTTCCTGCCTCTCCTTTGCTCCCTAAACCCTGTACTTCACTCTCCCACTGTCAGTTTGTGCCTCTTTCTGTCTCACTGCTCTTCCCTCTTTCCTCTCTCTTTCTTGCATGGTGTCCTGTTAATCCTGATCCCAGCTCCCAGCCCCACTACCTTAGGGAATATCCAACCTCATGGGACACCCATTCCTCAGTCCCACGCTGAACCCAGAATCAGTGGGTCCTGAAGGTCAGAAAGTAGAGCAGAGACACTGGCTTTCCTGAAAAGGCCACTCCAGAGCCTGCCTGTCTGCTCTCAGAGCCCGCTCTGCCTCCATCCAGAGAACGCATGTGCACACACCATGCTGGGGCCCAGCCACCTCCCAGCTTCTCCAACTTTTAGGTCTTATCCTTTCTGAGTTTAGCATCTCTATGGGAAAAAAGGCTTTAGGAGTTCATTCAGTCTGGAGAATAGGCAATGATTTCTGTCTCTGAGTGGTGGAGCACATTTCAGGGCATAGGCAGACTGCCAGGCTAGAGTGATCAGAGATGGTTGCAAAGCCCCTTTGCCTGTAAGCATGACTCATGGCCATGAGACATTCTCATACTGTCATAGAAACTGGAATTTCTACTAAGAGAATTATATTGATATTAACAAAGGGAAGGGTATCAACTCCAAAAGCCCTCGTTGTACTGCATTAAATTACGTAGGGACTTTCTCCGCCCGCCTCCCCCAGCATTGTCTCTGCTGCGGTGCATTGACACATTCATTCTTTCCCTCTCTGAGTGGCATGGTAGCATCCATCAGGACTGTGTTTGCATCACTAGGGCTCCTCGCTAGCATGGAGGCCCTGGTTTTCCACTGGAGCCCATCAGCATGGACTTTGCCATTAGCACCCTAGCACCTGTGCCTCCCACTGACAAGTTCACCACCTCATGGAAAGAGCAGCAGCCTGGGGGTCAGGAGATGAAGGTTGGGGGCATGATGCTTGTTTTATGGTTAAAGTGAGGATTGCGGGAGGTGACTTAAGTTCTCTTCCCACATCAACATCCAAAGTTCTCTGATATTTCTGACCTTACCCAGTGAGCACGAAACTCTACTCACCCATTAGCACAGGCTGGCCAAATGACCCATCAACAGAGACTCAGTTCTCAGAGAGCTGTGGGAACACAGCTGAACTGCACAGGGCTGGTTCTGAGGACCTGTGATCCCTAATGGAGACCATACCTGGTGACCAGACCAGGAGAGTGACAATGCCAACCCTGGGAGGTGAGGAGTAGAGTGCCCTGTCCAGGGAGCTATGTTCGTAAAAGCCCGAAGTTCTGGGGTCTGACCCCTGAGATTCCACACAGTGTTGACTTGCAGAGACTGAGGGGCCAGTATGTCAGCTTTGTCCCCCTCTTGGTGCAAAATAACCAAGGAGGCAGGTTGTGCTGAGAGACATGGGCACTCAGCCCCCCTTTCTTCATGTTCCAATCCCTATCTCACCTTACCACAAACCATACTGTTCCCCTGAAAGCCCCTGGTTTCTGACCTATTCCTCAATATCATGGGGGAGCAAAGCGTGCCCAGGAGGGTCAGGACAGGAAGAAAAGGCCTCAAGAGTCAGGATCGCCTCCATCCCAAGGGCTTTGCACTTAGGTTTGGACAATGTCTCCTCATAGTTTCAGTTCTTCCTTTGCTTTGGCAATGCAGCATTTTTCTTAAACCAGTGTTACCTGCCATTTGTAGAAGTTTGTACCTCTTTATTATACAGTGTAGAGGTTTTTGTTCATGTGCCTCTCAGCATGTCCCCAGGAGGTCTGTGGTCTACAACTGATGTGAGCCCATTTCCCAGAACCTTCTCAAGATATGAAAGCAAGACTGTTTATTGTAAATTTACCTGTGAATGCAGCAACACTACTTCCTGTGGCTGCAACAGCCATTTTCTGTCTCACCTCCTCCATCTGTTATCTCAGCCTTCACATACAGTGTGGTTTCCACACAGGACAGAGTTAGAATTGGGGCCCATGTCCCCTCCCTACACATGGGATGTGCTCTGGATGGCTGGAAGGCCAGACTGGGATGAGGAGGAGTCTCTCCACGGACACCTTGCGGAATTGTGCTCAGGCCCCTCTGTAGACCCTCCCCAGGCTGGTGCTGACCCAAGGGTGACAGGAGAGTTATTCTCTGAGTCTGCAGACCCACACACGGCCTTATTCAGACAGACCCAACAATGACCATTTCTGACTTCCTCAGGAGTAGGCAAGATGACCACTTAGTTGAAGCAGGTGCCTCTGGCCTAACCTGCCATGCAGGAATCTGACAACTGAGTTCTGAAAGCCTAAACTGCTGACAGTTTTAGTTTTAGATTTGCTGCCTATTTGGAAGCAATGATAACCTACATTCTTTTTATTTTATTTCATTTTAAGTTTCAGGATACATGTACAGGACATGCAGGTTTTTCACATAGGTAAATGTGTGCCGTGGTGGTTTGCAGCACCTATCAGCCCATCACTTAGGTATTAAGCCCTGCATGCATTAGCTATTTATCCTGGTGTTCTCTCTCCCACTGCCCAACCAACAGGCCCCAGTGTGTGTTGTTCCCCTCCTTGTGTCCATGTGTTCTCATTGTTCAGCTCCCATTTATAAATGAGAACATGCGGTGTTTGGTTTTCTGTTCCTGTGTTAGTTTGATGATGATAATGGCCTCCAGCTCCATCCATATTCCTGCAAAGGACATGAACTTGTTCCTTGTTATGCCTGCATGGTATTCCATGGTATATATGTGCCACATTTTCTTTATCCAGTCTATTACTGATGGGCATTTGGGTTGGTTCCAAGTCTTTGCTATTGTAAATAGTGCTGCAATAAACATATGTGTGCATGTGTCTTTATGGTAGAATGATTTATATGCCTCTGGGTATGTACCAAGTAATGAGATTTCTGGGTTGAATGGAAGTTCTGCTTTTAGAAAGTATCTGAATTTTGGTTTGTGTGAATTTACAATCTACATGCAATACTAACTAAATCAGATAGCTTTTACAGTTTCACATGTGGACATAGGTTCTCTCCCAGTCTCTTCCATACCCATTAGTTATTGAACTTTCTAAACTGGCATTGAAACAATGTCTCTGGCATACAACAATGTTTTGTTGCACCAGTTTTATAAACTTATGCAGTGCAATATGTGTTATTTTTCTGAAGCAAACCAAAGGTTCTTGCTGCCTTGTTTAGCAGCATTTTATTAAGGATCTTTTATACATTTGTAATAGATAAAAATAAACCAGATTGCAAATCCTTTTTAAAAATCTTAAACCATGTACCAAGTTTTTGATCCAAATTGTGTAGGATAAGTTAAACTTAAATTGCATTCTGTTAACCAATATGAGTGTATTTGTGTAAGCAAAGTTATGTTGAAACAAAGTTTTAACAAGCAAAAAAATATTCCTCTGCACAGACCTATTTACACTGTGAAAAAGATAGGGGTTTTTTCGTGTGTAAAGGATATGTAATAAATTTTATTTACTCAATTTTTCATGTGTTATTCTGCTAGGGAAAATAATTTTTCTGTGTAAAGGGTATGTAACAAAATTCACTTACTTAATAATTTTTTGTGTTTATTCTGCTGGGCTCTGCAAATCACATGTCCACAAGATAGTCATGAATCTCTGACCTCAAGCAAACTCTCAGTCTAATGGAAAGAATGTTTGGGATTAATACAGGACCTGTCCCCAGTGATTCTTTATTGGAGCTCATGAGCCATCATGGGGACCCAGGGACTGGCCCACAAGGAGCTGCAGACCAGCCTAAGAGAAAATAATAAATCCTTAGCTGGGGCACAAGGAACACCTTAATACCATTCATTGCACAAATAAAGGAGAGGAGAAAATGGGCTTCAGGTGTTGACTAGAACAGACTGAATTTAGGTTTTGGGCAAGGTTGCTAACGGTGAGCACAGTTGGTAAATATGTCCCATCAACTGCTCATGTGAGGTATTTGGAGAGAAATCTGCCAGTCAAGTTGCTGAAAGATTACTGGATGTTTGGAAAATAACTGTTTCTTCAGCATGTCTTTGCATTATTCTTTCTATTATTTAATCATTTAAATAATTTTATTGTCCTTTTCACATCCCATTTGATCTTCGTGAAATGATACAGTGCAAAACTGGGCAAATGCTAAACACATGAGCAAAAATGGAGAAATGCCACAGGAAGATCTGAAAACTGAATTCACAGAGGCCTACACACATCCTTAAAATCTTACCATCAGGTGAGGCTGCACTGCACGATTTTCCCATTCGACAGCTCACTACTCAACCCTCCACTCTGTATGTCAAGACTGGCTGGGAGGGATAATGCCTTTGTGAGGTCTCCTTGGGGAGAGGGTGGGAGAGATGGCTGTACTGTCTCTGTTGCCTGGAGATTCAACCCTGACCTGCTCATGTGCATGCACTTTCTCAAGCCCGTTTCTCTAGCCCGTTTCTCTCTCCCTCATACTCATATCACCTCCCATGTCCATGCTTCAGGTGTTAGTAAATAGTTTCATGTGTGCTAAACCACAGGTTTTACAGAGTCTTAATTAATAAAACCCTAAATCCTAAGAGTTTGAAATGTAAGCACTGGAGTAGATTCCTGGAGGAGATACTTCTGAGGGTGAAGAGGGCAGATTAAAACATTTGCTCTCAAAAACCACATGGAAGTTTTTATGTGGTCCCAATCTTGCAGATGACCTACTGTGAGACCAAAAGTCAGAATTACAAACTAGTAAAATGGGAAGGTACATTAGCTCTCCTCACGTCACTCTCCTGCGTGAACTTTAACTTCTGTTTTACTCATGGTTGAAATTGTCAAGCTTTATGGCTAAAGTCATCAAGCTTTCTAAGTTCCCTTTTCAAACACTAGTCTTCTCTTGCTGCCATTACCCACTTTCATCTTTCATCTTTGGATATCTTATTTAGAGTTCCCTTCATGGTGAAAAAATTTCTGAAACAGGTACCCATTTGTCTGTTTTCTGCTTTGCATATCAACTGATAGCAAATTTCTTCAGATCTGTATAACTGCCAAGCAGCTTTTTTCTGAAGCTTTTAGTGAGCTCATTCACTATTTTCTATATAATGTATAATAATATATAATTATTTTACAAACTCCCTTCATATTCTTTGCTACACTCCACTGAACACTCCAAATTGCCAATATTTCCTATAGTCTAGTCCCTGGAATTGATCTATGTTTCTGATAAACTTACAGAGAGTTGGGAATATTATTTCCTGTTGGATCCAGGGCTTCTGTTAAGAAAGCGTGAGTTAAAGGGGCTTTTTTGGTGAAAGGTTTTTTGCGCCATTGGTTCTTATTGATTTTGGCTCAACTAAAAACTCCAGGTTATTTTCCATGGAAATTATCCTATTTAGAATGCCTCCAGTCTATTCTTCTAAGATTTATTGTTGGAAAAACTATCACTTAAGAATTTTCAAAATAATTATCCAGCTGGTTTTAGTGGAAGGGTTTAGCTTGTCAATCTTGTTTTGTGTTATCGGCCTTAGTATACCTCATTGCAAATATTATTTAGAATGGATTTTTTATTAAGAACATACTGGCTTCATAACTAACTGCATGGCTTCAGTGCATCCTGTCATGCTCAGTTTTTGAATATTTTAAAAGCAGATTTTAATATCTATTTAGACGATATCATAGGGATGTTAGAGGACATGCTAAAACAATAGAGATGAGAACTTTGAAGATGATAAAGTGCTTCATAGAGAGAATTCAGAAAAGGATAAAGGTGATGATGACACTGTTGATCATTATTATCGCCACATGTGCAACACGGCAATTTGTGGATTCCAAACCCCAGAGAAGCAATTTCCATTCAAAAAAATTGTAACACACAGTTTTTTTTTTTGTTTTTGTTTTTTTTTTTGAGATGGAGTCTCACTCTGTCGCCCAGGCTGGAGTGCAGTGGCACAATCTCGGCTCACTGCAAGCTCCGCCTCCCGGGTTCACGCCATTCTCCTGCCTCAGCCTCCCTAGTAGCTGGGACTACAGGCGCCCGCCACCATGCCAGGCTAATTTTTTGTATTTCTAGTAGAGATGGGGTTCCACCGTGTTAGCCAGGATGGTCTCGATCTCCTGACCTCGTGATCCACCCGCCTCGGCCTCCCAAAGTGCTGGGATTACAGGCGTGAGCCACTGTGCCTGGCCCACATACAGATATTTTTAGGGAAAAGAGAAGACCCCCTGTTCAGGGATTAGGACATTGTGGAATCCATCCAGGGGCTTTGTCGTGAGAACCCCCACCTGTTAGCCTATAACCAGAAACAGCCCCTGAGATAATTGTCTTGAATATCCCATTCATCTTTCATTGTCTTTTTGTGCTTTTATTCATGATGTTGGTGCCTTGTCTCCCACACCCAAAGGCCCAGAGCTCACAAGCTCTCTTTAGGTATCTTGGTTCCCAAAGGGAAAGGGGATGGAGGCAGAGTTGGTGTCATCTCAGTCACCTGAGGGAGCTTTTCCATAAATGAGGTGGCTCTGGAAGGAGGAGGGAGCCTGGCCCTGAGGGTGTGAGGCTTCAGTCAGAAAACCTGGATGCAGAGGATGTGATGGGAAATGGATGGACACTGGCTGTGACAGAGCTGGCCCAAGTGACCATGTGTCCAGGAATGAGTCTTGGCTAGACCGTGGGGCAGCCCAGGGAGGAGGGTCCATGCTCCAGACCAGCACTTCTTACCTTACACCGCCTGCCTTTGTCAATGAGTATAAACTCACAAAGGAAACTGAGGCCACGGAGTCCGACATAAAAAGGGACCTCCAGAGCATGTTGCTTGCTGCGGCAGTCAGCACAACAGCAGCCTTGCTTTCTCACAGACGGGAAACTGTCGGCCCTTCCCTCACTGCCCTTCCCATTTGATCTCATTTCAACTCAGCTGCGCAGTTCATCATGGTGCCCCTTCCATGCGTACAGTGCTGAGAACACTGTTGAGAAGAGACAAGCTCAGTGTCGTTGGAGGAATAAGACGATGCACAGGTCATAAATAATGCATAAAATAAGGCAGTCTTGCAACTAAGGACCCAAAATAGACAGAATCAAGGGCTGAGGGAGAGTAGTAGGAGGAATCCAGGCAGCGGGATCCATATTGGGGGAGTGGGGAGGGGCGTAGGTAGGCGGTACCCTGGGAATCTCACACTGATGCTCCCTTCTCTCCTCCCCTTTCCTTTACCAAGGAAGCCTGAAGGCCACTCTTCCCTGACCTTTAGCAAGGAAGACTAAACGTAAAAAGCTGCAGTTACCACTCCTAAGAGGTCAAAGTCAGTGACGTTGGTAAATAGACCAATGACCCTACTCCATTCCATGCCTTCCCTAATCTAGTCGCATCCTCTGTTTCCCCAAAATAGTTATGTGGATAAATTACCTTTATTTCTTTTGCTACTTCATAAACTTCTACCTAAAATTTGAAATGAGGTAGAGGAAATTTGTGTTTTATGTGAAATGAGACGAGGATAGTTCATAACGTCTATAATGAATAAGTTTATAGAATTTCAGGCATCAAGGAAATTAATGGCACTATTGTTCCCATAAGAAGAAATACTTTCATGCTGTATCCCAAATTGTATCCATTAAATATTTAATTCCTTTAAATTTTTCCGTAAATATAGTCCTATTGTAAGCAAGACTAATGTTTTCAGAAACATACCAGGGATTGTATATTCATACTCAATAATTAATTTATTTTATAAACTTTTTCTTTTGTCAAGTTGTTACTATCATGCAAATGTGTCCCTTTTAAGCTGAGGCACTCATTCTAACACCCCTGGCTCCTTTCACAGTATGCCTGGTACTCCAGCACTAACATTGCCCTGGGAGTTAGCACCCTAAAAGAGAATCCTAATTATAACACTGTTTTTGAGGCTCAGCCTCTGCCCCTGGGTACGTCAGCACAAAAAGCTGAAATTATTGCTCTTACCTGAGCTCCAATATTGGGAAAAGGGAAAAAGCTTAACATCTATATGGATTCTAAATGTGCGGGTCTCAGGTTCATGCTCATGCCAAAATTTGGAAAGAAACAGGACTACTAACTGATAAGCATTTCTCCATAAAGCATGGGTGTGAAATTCTTCAACTACGGGAAACAATATACTTGCCAGAGGCCATAGCTGAAAGGAGTTAGCCAGCTTGCTTTAGGCAGACAGTAAGGGAAAGGTCCCCAGAGAACCTCCAACCTGCCCCACAAGTGCTTATACCAGATGTTTTGTACATTTGAGGAAACTTGCACAGCGGGCTTGCCTAAACACACCTGCAGTGGAAAATTCCATTCATTAATACACGTGCAGTAAGGGAAATAAATCAATTTGGAGTCACTCAGTCTAAGGGCCCACATGTGCACTGGAAGGATGGGATGGAGCTGCCAGGAATTTGCACCTTAAGCCTGGATATTCAACTGTGAAGGGTGCAATGGCAACCTGCTCTCAGGACCACTCTCTTTGCTGGGAGTTTTCCTTTTGCTTAATAAATTCTACTGCAGCCACTCTCTGGTATCTGTGTGCCTAATTCTTCCTGGATGTGAGACAAGGACCAAGACCTAGCTGAGCTAAGGAGCAAAATCCTGCATCATAGTTATAATCCATTGTAGGGGGCATCAAAAGGACTTAACCCCTATAGCACAAGGAAACAAAAAGGCAGATAGGGAAGCCAAAGCAGCAGTTCAGGGTGCAATCTCAACAAATCCTAGCACTGCTTCCTTTCTACGATTTCCCAATAGAACCTGAATACACATCACAGGAAAAACAGTTAATAAAGGAGCAAAGGGGACAAAAACAAGGATCCTGTGGTGTATGGGATCAAAAATGTATCTCTCTCAAACGGCCCAATGGAGAATTATAAAAATCTTCATGACTTTTTCCATATGGGAAGAGATGCCACTCTGGTCTGGTAAACAGATTCTTCATTGGGCCTAACTTAGCTTCAGTGGTTAAGCAGATCTGACAAACCTGCTCACTGTGTGCATTCAACAACCCAGGAAACAAAATGCCTCCTCTAATAGGACCAGTCCAGAGAAGGAGAACTTACCCAGGGGAAGACTGGCAACTGGACTTTACCCACATGCCAGGTTGTAAAGGATACAAGTTTTTGTTAGTACGAATAGACACTTTTACTAGCTGTGTTGAAGCTTACCCTACCAGAATAGAGAAGGCTAATGAGGTTATAAAGTTTCTCTTGAAGGAAATATTCCCCCAGTTTGGGTTACCCCAAAGCCTCCAAAGTGATCACAGCCTTCTTTTGTCTCCCAAATAACTCAAGGGTTATTTATAACTCCCAAATAACTCTCACATAACTAAGGCTCTTGGAATCAAATACTATTTACATTCAGCATGGAGGCCTTAATCCTCCAAGAAAGTAGAAAAGGCTAATCAAACTCTAAAACGGGCATTAGCTAAGCTACATCAGGAAACAACAGAAACTTGGATCAGCTTACTGCCCATATCCCTCTTAAGAATTTGTAATTCCCCAAGAGCAAAAATTAATATGAGCCCATATGAAATATTATATGGGAGGCCATTTTAAACTAATGATCTAATGATTGATCCAGAAGCAGCCGGTTTAGTAAAATACTTAGTTAACCTGGGACAATTTCAGCAGGCTTTACAAAAAGTTTGGAACTCAAAGGTTCCCTGTACCAGGAACTAACCAGCGCACCAAGGTCAGGCCAGGAGATAAGGTACTTGTTAAAACATGGAACGAAGGGTCACCTGCTCAACAATTACAACCCAAATGGAAAGGACTGTTTTCCGTTGTGTTGGCCACGCCTTCCACAGTCAAAGCACTAGGATCAGATTGTTGGATACATCTTTCCAGGGTTAAGTCTGCAATATCTGAAGCCCTGGACCTGGAACTGGAGGCTCCCTCCAGCCACTATACCTGTGAACCTGTGGAAGACCTGAAGTACCTGTTTAAAAGAAAGCCAAAAGATAAGTAAATACCTACCAATTTTCCCTGGTGTAAAATGTTAATTGATTTTTGCTCCCTCACTTACAGATGCTTGTGCAAGGGTTTCAGTCAGTTTTGGAACAAAATCCAAAATCGAGCCAAAGATACTCAACTGTCACAACTGGATCAAGCTAGCTGCACCTTTTATGACCAAGTACAAGTTTCATTGCAGCCCACGGACACTGACCTAACTACCTAGGGACAAAGAGCCAGGATTCTCAATAGGCAGGGACAATGCCCGTGACCAGCAGGAAGCAGCTACAGAAAGCTGATCTTCAGTGCCTCTGCCTCCCATAAAGATTCAAGGGGATCATGTCTCTCAGCAGGAAATGAGACAGGAGAATAGGGAATTAAGGTAACCAAGGGTTAAGGCATAAGCAAAAAAACAGCAGGTGCCGACAGTTCTAGGCAAGATTAGGCAGCATAAAGGCCACATCCTTGCTCCTGTGATAACAAGACATAAGTTTCCACTTTATTCTCTGATTGGTCACAGGCCAATCCTTCATAAGGTGTAACCAATTGGAGACCTCTAAAGGGCACCCAGGTGGGTGTGGTGGTATGCGGCCTGTAATCCCAGCTACTCAGGAGGCTGAGGCAGGAGCATCACTTGAACTTGGGAGGCAGAAGTTGCAGTGAGCCGAGATTGCACCACTGCACTCCAGCCTTGGCAATAGACAAGACTCAGTCATAAATAAATAAATGGCACCTAGAGGTGTTGCCAAGTTATTTTGGCTATATAAAAACATTGGGGAGCATTGTAACAAGGAGATTCTTGTGCTGGTTGCTGGAGCTCACTCCCACCCTGTAAACTGTCTTCAACAAATCTGTGCTTTCATTACTTCCTTGCTTTGTCTTTCATTGCTTCATTCTTTTGTTACTTTGTGCATTTTGTTCAATTCTTTGTTCAACACTTCAAGAACCTGGACAACTCTATCAGTAACAATAGGATTGAACAAAGTAGTATGTATATTGCAAATAATGTTGCACAAACAAGTTACAAATAAGAATAGAACTTACTGCTTTTTAAAAGCATGTAGATAGAGAGATGCAGAAATCAACATAAGTATGTGGATTTGCATATGTAAATTTGCACGCATGGCTTTCCCAGCTCTGTCTGCTAAGGCGAGCTTAGAAAAAGTGACACCTTCTAGCAATGAGCACATCAAGTGTCCAAATCTTTGTTTATTACCCAATAACCAGAACCAAAAGTCCTTGGAAAAGGGGTAGATTCCAGAGAATGTTTCTCATGTATAGATTTGGCAAAACTCCTAAAGTTTGACAGCCTACTTTCTTGACAAAAGTATAGGGAAGACAGAAACTCTCAGACACTGCTGAAGGGAAAGCAAAAGAGTTCAGCCCTATGGGGGTAAATAAAGAAGGATTTACCCTTTGACACACATTATCAAATTTAAGAATGTGCCCAAAAATACACTGGCAAAAGTATAGAAAGAACTATGCAAAAATCTCCTTGGAAGAGTACTATTTAAAAAAGCAAAGACAAAAACTGATCCAAATTACCATGAATAAGAGACTGGCGGGATGAACTTAGATACATCTATGCAATGAAGTACTTCTTCATTGTAAAAAGTAGTGAAGACTATCTCTATAGAGAGTTGTAAAATCATCTCCAGGATATATTGCTAAGTATTTTATTCAATTATGAGTTGAATAAAATAATGTAAGGGATACTATCATTTGTTTAGTAAGGGGCACAAGATACACTTTTGCATATATATTTATTATATTTATATGTTATATATTTTCATATAGATACATAAATATAAGGATGACAATAGAAAGATATACTTTGAAAACAAGCAAGGAAAGAAAGAAGGAAGGGAAAGAAGAAAAAGAGAAAAAGAGAGGTAGAAGAAAGGAAGAAATAAAAGAAGAAAGCAAGAAAGAGTAACAAGGAAGGAAAAAGTTACCTGTGTACAGAGGGAGGGAATAGAAATGAGAGCAGAAGCTGGACTTCTTTGAATTGACTGTTATGAAGATTTGATTTTAGAATGATAAAAATATTTGAGTTGAAGTGTGACTCTACCACACTCACTCTTAACCATGCACTCTACAGCCTGTCCTTGGTTACTCTCAAACCATGATTGTACATTTTCATTGACATCATGTGATAAATAGGTCAGGGGAGGGCAAAGGAAATGATCCACACTTTGCTCAGAAGGTGAGCTGGGAGCAAGCCTTGGATTGGAGAGTCCATGGGGAGGGCTCCGCACTTCTCTGTGGACTTTTCCCTCTATCCCATACTGAAAAGCCAAAGATGAGAGAGAGACAGAAAAAATCATTTTTTTTTTTTGAGATGGAGTCTCACACTGGCATCCGGGCTGGAGTGCAGTAGCATGATCTCGGCTCACTGCAACCTCCCCCTCCCAGGTTCAAGCGATTCTCCTGCTTCAGCCTCCCAAGTAGCTGGGATTACAGGCACCCGCCATGGCGTCCAGCTAATTTTTTTGTATTTTTAGTAGAGACGGGGTTTCATTACGTTGGTCAGGCTGGTCTCAAACTCCTGACCTTGTGATCCACTCGCCTCAGCCTCCCAAAGTGCTGGGATTACAGGCATGAGCCACCGCGCCTGGCCTAGAAAAATCATTTTAAAACTTTCCTAAATGGGAGACAATTAGATCATCATAGCAGATGGCAGGCAGGACCAGATTGCAGTTCTGGACAGAGCAGCTTGTGGAAGCTCACATTGTGAATTTTAGCGGCAGATCAACTGCAAGAACAAACCAGCAACCCTGAGAGGACCCTCCAAAGGAAGCAGTCTGCTCCTGCAGGACCTGGGAGATACCCCAAATACTGTGAGTGCCCCAACTGCAGAAGTGGGAAAGGGAGACCCTCCTCTCCCAAACACACAACAAAAAAAAAAGTCCAGGACCAGATAGATTCACAGTAGAATTCTACCACACATTCAAAGAAGAATTGGTACCAATCCTTTTGATGCTGTTCTACAAGATAGAGGAAGAAGGAACCCTCCCTAATTCATTTTATGAAGCCAGCATCACAGTAATACCAAAACCAGGAAAGGACATAATCAAAAAAGAAAACTACAGACTGATATCCTTGATGAACATTGATGCTAAAATCCTTAACAAAATACTAGCTAACTGAATCCAACATATCAAAAAATATGATCGAGTAGGTTTCATACCAGGGGTACAGGGATGGTTTAACATATGCAAGTCAATAAATGTGTTATACCACATAAACAGAATTAAAAACAAAAATCACATGATCATCTCAATAGATGTGGAGAAAGCATTTGACAAAATCCAGCATCCTTTTATGATTAAAACTCTCATCAAAATCAGCATAAAAGGACCATACCTTAATGTAATAAAAGCCATCTATGACAAACCCATAGCCAACATAATACTGAATAGGGAAAAGCTGAAAGCATTCTCCCTGAGAACTAGAACCAGACAAGGATGCCCACTCTCACTGCTCCTCTTCAACATAGTACTAGAAGTCCTAGCCAGAGCAATCAGACAAGAGAAAGAAATAAAGGGCATCCAATCAGTAAAGAGAAAGTAAAATTGTCACTATTTGCTGATGATATGATTGTTTACCTTGAATACCCTAAGGACTCCTCCAGAAATCTCCTAGAACTGATAAAAGAATTCAGCAAAGTTCTGGATATAAAATTAATGTACATAAATCAGTAGCTCTTCTATACACCAACAGCAACCAAGCAGAGAATCAAATCAAGAACTCAATATTTTTTACAATAGCTGCAAAAAATAAATAAAATAAAATAAAATAAAATAAAATAAAATACTTAGGAATATACCTAACCAAGGAGCTGAAACACCTCTACAAGGAAAACTACAAAACACGTCTTAAAGAAATCATAGGTGACACTAATGGAAACACATCCCATGCTCATGGATGGGTAGAATCAATATTGTGAAAATGACCATACTGCCAAAAGCCATCTACAAAGTCAGTGCAATCCCCATCAAAATACCACCATCATTCTTCACAAGATTAGAAAAAACAATTCTAAACTTCATAAGGAACCAAAAAGGAGCCCACATAGCCAAAGCATGACTAAGCAAAAAGAACAAATCTGAATGCATCACGCTACCTAATTTCGAACCATAAAACAGTGTGATACTGTTTTATAGGCACATAGACCAATGGAACAGAATAGAGAATCCAGAAATAAACCCAAATACTTATAGCCAACTGATCTTTGACAAAGCAAACAAAAACATAAAGTGGGGGAAAGGACACCTTTTTCAACAAATGTTGCTGGGGTAATTGGCAGCCACGTGTAGGAGAATGAAACTGGATCCTCATCTCTCACCTTATAGAAAAATCAACTCAAGATGGAGTAAGAACTTAAGCCTAAGACCTGAAACTACAAAAATTCTAGAAGATAACATTGGAAAAGCCCTTTTAGACATTGGTTTAGGCAAGGATTTCATGACCAAAAGCAAATGCAATAAAAACAAAGATAAATAACTGGGAGCTAATTAAACTAAAGAGCTTTTGCATGGCAAAAGGAACAGTAAGCAGAGTAAATAGACAACCCACAGAGTGGGAGAAAATCTACACAACTGTCAAAGGACTAATATTAAGAATCTACAACAAACTCAAACAAATCGGTAAGAAAAAAAATCCCATCTAAAAGTGCGCTAAGGACATGAACAGACAATTCTCAAAAGAAGATATACAAATGGCCAACAAACATATGAAAAAATGCTCAACATCACTAATGATCAGGGAAATGCAAATCAAAACCACTATGCAATACCACCTTACTCCTGCAAGAATGGCCATAATCCAACAATCAAAAAACAGTAGATGTTGGCGTGGACGCAGTGAACAGGGAACACTTCTACACTGCTGGTGGGAATGTAAACTAATACAGCCACCATGGAAAACAGTGTTGAGATTCCTTAAAGAAATAAAAGTAGAACTACCATTTGATCCAGGAATCTCACTACTGGATATCTACCCAGAGGAAAAGAAGTCATTATTCAAAAAAGATACTTGCACATGCATGTTTATAATAGCCCAATTCACAGTAGCAAAATCATGGAACCAATCCAAATGCCCATTAATCAAAGAGTGGATAAACTGTAGTGTGTGTGTGTGTGTGTGTGCGCGCGCGTGTGTGTGTATGATGGAATACTATGCAGCCATAAAAAGAATGAATTAACACCATTTTCAGTAACCTGGATGAGATTCGAGACTATTATTCTAAGCCAAGTAATTCAGGAATGGAAAACCAAATATCATATGTTCTCCCTGATATGTGGGAGCTAAGCTATGAGGACACAAAGGCATAAGAATGATACAATAGACTTTGGGGACTTGGGGGGAAATGTGGGAGGGGGCGAGGGATAAAACACTACAAATATGGTGCAGTATATACTACTCAGGTGATGGGTATACCAAAATCTCACAAATCACCACAAAAGAACTTACTCATGTAACCAAATACCACCTGCACCCCAATAACTTATGGAAAAAGGTCACATTAAAAAAAAAAAAAACTTCCCTAAGTGGTTCTTGGAAGACCCAGATGACCTCCAGCTAAGAGGAGGGCTGAGAAGTGAAACAAGCGTGTGCTTCAGACATGAGCTGACCTAACTGTAGCCAGACCCACCATTTCTGGAAGATTCCATAAGCTTCTTGAGACTTAGTTCCCTCTGCTATGAAAAGGGTCAATAAAACCAGTTGTGCAGGGTTGTCATGTGGTTTTCATGGAATAATTTCTAAAAGTCTTACACATTGCCTAGAGCACAGCAGCCACTCAAGATGCCACGGGATATATAAGAGAAGCACGGACTAAAAAATCGTTCTGTGTCTTACCTAGAACCACACTGCAACTTAGGGGTTCAGCTGGAATTACAAATTATAGTCGTTTTTTAGAGCAGCTAATCTTCTCCCTAAGCTCCCTATCCTCCACCCCATCTCTTATACTATTAGGAGCACAGCCTCCTTCTTGGGAGGTGTTGGAATATATCTAGACATGGAGTTAGTAGACCAAGTTCTAGTCTTTTCTTGTCAACCTAGAGGACACTTGGGATGTCCCCAATTCACTGGGCTTTGATTCTTTTTCAGTAATTAAAGCAATTAGAGTAGGTTTAGATTTGGTGTCTCTAAATTGCCTGCAAGTTCTGAAGACCTGTCCTGGGGACACTAATATCCTGTTAAAGGTAAATGACAGTTTTCAGACAACAGCATCACAACAGACACCAGATAGAAAGTGCCTGTTAAGCAAAGGCCTGTCCTGTGCAATATGAGCTGGAGTGACATTCTGCTTGAACTCTCAGCTTCCCCTCCCACAGCCTCTACACTCACATGCAGGCTGCCCCCCATGACCCCCACTCACACACAGCTCCCTGCTCTCCTTCCCAGCCAGCCTCACCTGCTTTTGCAGAATGGATGAGCTCACAAGTCTCTCCAGGGAAGTGTGAACTACCATTTTTACTTCCAGCGAAACCTCTGACCCCGCTCAACTTCTGACCATGGAAGCTCCAAAGGAGTGGAGCCAATGAAGAAATATTTCACATTTAAACAGAAAAAGAATGTAGTATTTCACAATTTGGTAGGTGCTTCAGTTTTGCCTGAGGGAAGTGTTTTTCTCCATGCACCTGCTGGACTCCCGAGAAACCCAGTCACAGCCATTGCTTTGGATGGTAGTGTGACTCTGAAGACCTAGTGAAATAGCCCAAATTTTGCTCAATGTTGTATTCTCTATGGTCAGCCACTGAGATCCACTTCCTTCCCCTCCATTTCAGGACTGAAGTCCCGAGTCTCCCTGCTGACTTGACGGGAGTGTTGAGAGCTGACAGCTGCTGGCTGAGCCCTGCCCCCACCCCTAAGACACCACCTCATGATTGGTCTCAGCTAAAAAGTCACTTCCTCCAAGGTCATCTCCCATTCCCAGGGCCACTCACACCTGATGACTTGTCAGTGTAGAGGTATAGAGGCCTGGCCTCTGGCCCCAATTTTGGGTAGCTGTGCAGGGCCATCTTAGTCTCTGGGCTCCTGGAGGGGTTGACTCACTAGGCCTTTGTTGTCATCACAGCCTGACTTCCTCTGCTTCCTTCACTCGCCCACAGGCTCTTCCCAAAAATACTCCTAAATGAATTTCATGCCTGCACAACTTTATCTCAGCATCTGCTGAACTGTGACAGCAACATCCAGAAAGCACAGTCTAATCCTCACTGAATGAGGGGAAGTTGAAGGGTGAGTGTGCGAGAGATTTGGGTGGGTACACAGAGCCAAACTATATCACATGAGTTATACCTAATCAGTTATTATTTGTATATTAGTAAATTATTATAGTTTGTATTTAGTTGCACCCATCAACTTACTAAATTCTCTTATTGTTAGAGTAGTTTATCACTTCCTGGGCTGTGGTAATGGATTGCAGAGCATGGGTGCTTGCTCTTGTGACTGTGGCCTATGAGGTTATTTTTGTTTTTGGAGTCCTGGCACACTTACAGGTAATTTCCACCTGTGCCTCAGAACCAAGTTTTCGCTCCAGTTTAGAAGAGAACATTTTCAGAGGCTTGTAAAAAACTGACATTGAATTAAATTTACAGGTAATGTAGAAATAATTTACTGACTTTTTTATGATAACACATGTGGAACAAAAGGCTCATATAAGTTTATAGCTTAGGGAATTGTCATATTTGTTTGCTGTAAGCTTTTATATGTATCCATATTATAATATGTAGGTATAGATTATGCCTTCTCATAACTGTATTTGATTTTATTGGGTGAATATAGCCCAATTCATTTGGTGTCTATTGTAGATGGACATTTGCATTGCTTTCAGTTTTTTTATGAGTACACTGCTATAAATATTATAGGCATTATCTTTTGTTGAACACCTATTTCTCTTGGGTATGCACCCAAGAGTAGAATGGCTGAATATTGGCTATGTGTAACCTTCAGCTTTCATAGATACTACCAGATAATTTTTTTTTGAGACAGTCTCATTCTGTTGCCCAGGCTGGAGTGCAGGGGTGCGATCTTGGCTCACTACAACCTCTGCCTCCTAGGTTCAAGTAATTCTCCTGCCTCAGCTTCCCGAGTAGCTGGGATTACAGATGTGTGCCACCACGCCTGGCTAATTTTTGTATTTTTAGTAGAAGGGGGATTTCACCATGTTGGCCAGGCTGGTCTTGAACTCCTGACCTCAAATGATCCACCCACCTTGGCCTCCCAAAGTGCTGGGATTATAGGTGTAAGCCACCATGCCCAGCCCAGATAATTTTCCAAAGTGGTTTTACCAATGCACATTTTCATCAAGCCTTCTATGAGAGTTCTTTTTGCTGCATATCCTCAGAAGTTTCCTATTTTTTTTTTTCTTTTTTGAGATGAGGTTTCACTCTTGTTGCTCAGGCTTGAGTGCAGTGGCACAATCTCGGCTCACGTTCCAGTGATTCTCCTGTCTCAGCCTCCCAAATAGCTGGAATTACAGGTGCCCACCCCCATGCCCGGCTTGTTTTTTGTGTTTTTATTAGAGACAAGGTTTTATCATGTTGGGCAGGCCGGCCTCAAACTCCTGACCTCAGGTGATTCACCCACCTCTGCCTCCCAAAGTGTTGGGATTACAGGCATGAGCCACTATGCCCAGCCCCTCAGATGTTTCTTAAAGTTTTCTTTACACAGAGGTTACACATTTTAGAAGTTTGTCCTAGGTATTTTATCTTTTTGTTATTTTTAAAAATGTGATGTATTAGTCCATTCTTGCACTGCTATAAAGAAATATCTGAAACTGGATAATTTATAAAGAAAAGAGGTTTAATTGGCTCATGGTTCTGTGGGCTATACTGGCTTCTGCTTCTGAGGGGGGGCCTCAGGAAACTTACAATCATGGTGGAAAGTGAAGGGGAAGCAGGCACATATTCACATGGCCAGCAGAAGAGAGAGAGAGTGAAAGGAGAGGTGCTACACACTTTCAAACAACCAGATCTCATGAGAACTCTATCACGAGAACAGCAAGGTGGAAGTCTTCCCCCATGATTCAGTCACCTCCCACCAGACCCCTCCTCCAACACTGGGGATTACAATTCAACATGAGATTTCAGTGGAGACACAGAGCCAAACCATATCACATGTGTTATACCTAATCAGTTTTTATTTGTAACTTAGTAAATTACTATAGTTTGTATTTAGTTTGCACCTACCAACTTACCAAATTCTCCTATTTTTAAGTAGTTCATCAGTTTATTCTCTTGATTTTCACAGATATGAAATCATATTTTCTGCAAATAATTTTATATCTAGCTTTACAATTTTTATGCATGCAATTACTTTCTGTTTTATCGTTGTAGCATTCACTTGCTCTAGAAAACTGTAGGGGTAATAAGGAACAATGACATGTTTTCCTTTTACCTGACGTTAGGTTGAAGGGTTGTCAAATTCCCGACTAAGCATGATGCTGGATTTGATGTTGAGGTAGACACAGCTATCTATTTTGTATTATAAGGAATTATCTTTAAAAATCAAATACTGGTTGAACTTTATCAACTGCCTTCTCAGAATATAAGTAGAAGATCAAATTAGTTTTCTTTTTGAATATATTACCACGTGAAATTATTTATGAATATCCTAATATTAACCTATCTTTGCATTCCTACTTGCTAATGCAAGGTTGTTCTTTGAAAGAACTGTTTGCTGATATTTATGTACCATGTTAATAAATATTTATAAGTGAGCCAACTCCTTGCTAATTAAGAGCAGTTCATATAATTATTTGGTTGTTTTACCCTTTGCTGACCCACGTTCTCAGGACTCCACCTTCACATAAAATATTTACCAAGATATTTTTATTAGATGACACACTTTCTGAGAAACATCTTGGTTCCAGCTCCTCAGAGTACTTATGGACACAAGAGATGGGATAAAACCCTCAAGTAACTAAGAGAAATGCAGCAAGGCCAGAGCACAGAGAAGAAGAAAGATTGTAAGAAAATGAGGCAGAAGAGGTAGCTGGGGAGCAGACTTGGCCTGGATCACCTAAGCGGGTAGGGAGCTGCAGAAGGGAAAGGAGAGGAGAGGAGAGGGGAGGGGAGGGGAGGGGAGAGGAGGGGAGAGGAGGGGAGGGGAGGGAGGAGGGGAAGGAGAAAAAGAGAGGAAAGGGAAGAGAAAACCTGTGAAGGCCACAGCCCAGGAACACAGACCCAGTGAAAGAGTGAGGCAGATTTAATACTAAATGTATAGAATGCTTTCCTTGCCTCGCTTCTTACCACCACATCGTGGCTTAGTGGATTGCAGCTGAAAGAACTACAAGACACATACACGTGGTCCTTACTTTATAATAATTTGATTTGTAATTTTTTGACTTCATGATAGGCTTATCAGGGTACTGAATGTATTTTCCACATATGATATTTTTGACTTATGATGGGTTTATTGGGATGTAACTGCATCATAAGTCAGCAAGCATTGGTACGGTACTCAAGGAGTCATTAGGGACACCTGAAGACATCAGAGGAAATTAAACAAGGATACTGGAGGAAACTGAAACCTCTGACTACAGTTACAGCAAACATCAAACACAATGCAATCTGTAGCCACTTAACATAAAGTCTCATAGTGAAGGCCTATTTCCCTCAGTTCCCATTACCCAATGTATCGCATCAGGCTTTCAACAAGGATTACAGGGCACACTAAAAGGAAAGAAAAATACAGGCTGAAGAGACAAAGCAAGCAACAGAACCAGACTCAGATATGACACAGGTTTTTGAATTGTCAGATGCAGAATTTAAAATAATTTCATTAACATGTTAAAGGTTGTCATTAAAAAGGTACACAACATTCAAGAAAAGATGGGTAATGTCAGCAGAGAGATGGGAACTTTAAGAAAGATTCAAAAGGAAGTGTTAGCAATCAAAAACACTGTTTTTTTTTTATTGTACTTTAAGTTTCAGGTACATGTGCACAACGTGCAGGTTTGTTACATATATACACATGTGCCATGTTGGTGTGCTGCACCCATTAACTCGTCATTTAACATTAGGTATATCTCCTAACTATCCCTCCCCACTCTCCCCAACCCAAAACAGGCCCCAGTGTGTGATGGTCCCCTTCCTGTGCCCATGCATTCTCATTGTTCAATTCCCACCTATGAGTGAGAACATGCGGTATTTGGAAACCATCATTCTCAGAAAACTATCGCAAGGATGAAAAACCAAAAACACCGTTAAAGAAATAAAGAATGCCTTTGAAGAATGCCATCAATAACCTGGACTCAGCCAGGGAAAGAATCAGTGAGCATGACATATGTCAATAGAAACTTACCAAACTGAAATATAACCCAAAAAATGAAAGAAAAAGACAGACCAGAATATCTAAGAACTGTGTGATAGTTTCAAAAGACATAACATGCATAATTGAAATACCAAAAGGAGGAGGAGGAGGAGGAGGAGGAGGAGGAGGAGGAGGAGAAACAAATATTTAAAGCAATAATGCTAAGAACTTTATAAAATTAATGACAGGCACCAAACCACAGATTTAGGAAGCTCAGAGAACACCAAGCAGGATAAATACCAAAAAATATACACATAGGTATATAATATTCAAACTGTACAAAAGCAAAGACAAAGAGAAAATCTTGAAAGAAGCCAGAGGAAATAAAATGCCTTAGCTATGGAGGAAGGAGAAGAATGACAGTGGATTGCTTATCAGAAACTGTGCCAACAAGAAGACAGTGGAGGGAAATATTTAAAGTGTTAAAAAAAAAAACCACCACCAACGTAGAATTTTACATCCAGTGAAATTACCCTTCAAGAGTAAAGGAGAAATAAAGAATTTCTCAAAACAAACAAAAACTGAAGGAAATACTTCACCAGCCAATGGGCCCTGAAAAAAAATTACAAGAAGTTCTTCAGAGAGAAGAAAACTGATATGGGTCAGAAGCTTAGATCTCCATTAAGAAATAAAAAGTGTTGGAGTGGGAATCAGTAAAAGTACAACAAACATTTTTTTTCTTGTTCATAGTTGATCTAATAGATAATGGTGCATTCAAAATATTAATAGTAACTAAGCGTTGTGCAATCATAGCATGCAGATTAATGAAATGAGTGACAGAACTGTGACAATAAATAGGAGAGAGGAATTAGGAATATTCCTGTTATAAGATACCTGCAGTACCCGTGAAGTGATATAATGTTATTTGAAAGTAGGCTTAGGTAATTTGAACAGGTATATTGCAGACTCTAGGGCAACAAGTAAAAACATTTGTTTAAAAATAAGCATAATTGGTATGCTAATAGACATCATAGGAATGGGCTGGAGGAGAAGAAGTAGCAAGTACCTTACAGGCCTTGGTAAGACACATACACTATGAGTGTTAGGAGAAAAAAAACATAAATACTCAAGGTCCTGCACTAACAGTAAAACTTTTAGGTTCCCAGTGGACTTTGTCATGCCAGAAGAACTCCTTCAGAATAAAGGACGTGTGCCATCCCACCATGAAGAAGGAGGCACAATGCTTGAGATCTCTTTGGGTTTTGGAGGAAGCAGAGTCCATGGCTGGGTATACTGCTCTGACCCACATACCAAGTGACAAAGAGGCTCCCAGCTTTCAGCGGGGCCCAGGGAAGGAAAGGGTCCTAAAGCAAACTGAAGATGTAGTACAAGAAGCCCCATGACCCAATAGAGGTGGAACATCTGACCGTGGTCTATCAAGTGACCATGTGGCAGGAACTGCCCATCATGATGCAGGCCCAGTCCATCACTAGATAGAAGCACGTCCAGGATTTGGCATTAGCAGGAGCAGGGGATGCAAGCACAATCATGAGCAGGCAGCAAAATCTCATGTCATCCATCACTCTTGTAGCAGTGCCTCTGCCTCAGTCACACCTAAGACCACTGGGGAAATCTCCTATGACCCACAGACAAAGGAGGGAATATCCCAAGGCTGGTACATGTATTTGTTGGCTCAATATGTGATGCAACTTAAAAATGGACAATGGCTGGCTCACACCTGTAATCCCAGCACTTTGAGAGGCCGAGGCGGGCAGATCATGAGGTCAGGAGATCGAGACCATCCTGGCTAACACAGTGAAACCCCATCTCTACTAAAAATACAAAAACAAAATTAGCCGGGCGTGGTGGCGGGTGCCTGTAGTCTCAGCTACTCGGGACGCTGAGGCAGGAGAATGGCGTGAACCCGGGAGGCAGAGCTTGCAGTGAGCTGAGATCACGCCACTGCACTCCAGCCTGGGTGACAGAGTGAGACTCCATCTCAAAAAAAAAAAAAAAAAAAAAAAGGACAGCGGCTGCTCTACAGTCCTATTCAAAGGCCTGGGTGGTGCAGGAAAATCCTCTCAATGATCAATGTTTTGAATGATTTACATTTTGTATGAAAAAAGTAGTGTGCCAGTGTTAGAAGAGACACAGACCCATGGCTGTCAAGGGGTCTGGACAGAGAAAGAATGGAGAATTGAGGACAAGGAAGTCTGGTGTGGAAGCATGGGGACCAACACATGGGTAGGCACAGAAAGTGTGAAGATCTCGTTTTACTCCTACCAGAGAATGTTCACCTTGGAAGAGACACTAGAATAATCACAAATACAAAATGAATCAGCCAGCTGACCAGAGCAGACAGAAGCCCTGTCGATGCTGGCACAATGGGCAAGTGCATGGAATAGCCATGGTGACAGGTGGAAGCTCTGCACAGGCCCAGTGACATGGACTTTTCACTTACCAGGCCTCCTCCAGCTGCTGCCACCATCTGCCCCAAATGCAAATCCTGAGAGGAATGTCCTGGGGTTCAGGATCAATTTCAGGGGCTTAGAATATATACTTTTTATCAAGGCTTTGTTAGCACAGCAGGCTGGAAACAGAAAAGGCCATGAAAAAGAGGCAACTGAAACCCTGTGACACCCTGAGATTGCATGTAGACATCCTGCCCCTTCAACAGAGACCTCCTCACTTGCACTCTCTGTCTTTACTTCCACCAATCCAAACAGTCATAGCCTCCATTCTGAGGTCCCTCACAGAACCTTTCTAGGCTTTCTTCCTGATGTGTAAACATAGTAGCTCCTCTATTGCCTCTAAAAAAGGGTCCAGTGGATGTCTGTCATATTCCTGAGATGCAGAGAAGATATACAAATGGAGCCATGTGCAGGACCATTCTCTGGGGGGCCTTGGATCAACCCAGTTCCCCTCACCCCTTTCTCACTTGTAGTTCTCAAGAATAACTGAAGAATGCGCTGGAAATGCAATGTTTTGAGATAAGGGGGAGCTGGCAAGGACTGCTCAGACTCTGTTCCAGAGTGTCGCTAGAATCAGAATGTCCTTCAATGCTTTATTCCAGTGATTCAGGTTACCCCAGAATATAAAACCAGGGCAGTTTGCTTTTGGTGGTCCCTCAGCTGCAGTGCAAGTGGGAAAAAGACATTCAAGACTTCATCCACCCCAGGCAGCTTTCCTGAATCTTGGAGGACCAGCTTGCAATGAATCCTAGGCTTCCATTGTCCCTTCTGCCCATTTGTAAGTAATAAATCCACAGCATATAACTTGTATGTGAACTAATAGAGTGTTTTATTTCACCAGACTCAGACAACTTGGTAATCACTGCACATGAAACGGCTTCATGCCAAGGTCAGTGTATTAGTCCATTTTGTACTGATGTAGAAGGATACCTGAGACTGACATAAAGCAAAGAGATTTATTTTCACTCACAGTTCTTCAGGCTGTACAAGAAGCATAGGGCCGGGCATCTGATTTGGGTGAGGCCTCAGGAAGCTTCCAATCATGGTAGAAGGAGAAGGGAGAGCAGGTGTATCACATGGCAAGAGAGGGATCAAGAGAGTTGCCAAGCTCTTTTCTTTTTTTGAGATGGAGGTCTTGCTCTGTCACCCAGGCTGGAGTGCAGTGGTATGATCTCTGCTCACTTCAACCTCCACTTCCTGGGCTCAAGTGATCCTCCTGCCTCAGCCTCCCGAGTAGCTGGGACTATAGGTGCATGCCATCATGCCTGGCTAATTTTTGTATTTTTTGTAGAGATGGAGCTTTGCCATTGCCCAGGCTGGTGTCAAACTCCTGGGCTCAAGCAATCTGCCTGCCTCGGCCTCCCAAAGTGGTGGGATTACAGGCATTGAACCACTGCACCCTGTCCCAGTTCTTTTTAAACTACCAGCTCTTGCATGAACTAATAGAGCAAGAATTCATTCATTACTGAGGGGAGGGCACCAACCCACTCATGAGGGATCTGTGCCCATGACTGCAACACCTCCCATTAGACCCCGCCTCCAACACTGGGGCTGAAATTTCAACATGAAATTTGGAGGGGACAAATATACAAACCA
This sequence comes from Homo sapiens, assembly GCF_000001405.40. NCBI lineage: Eukaryota > Metazoa > Chordata > Mammalia > Primates > Hominidae > Homo > Homo sapiens. Next base: position 150,640,680 of record NC_000007.14, on the reverse strand, counting down.
TCTCAGCAAGCCATTGTGGGGAACAGAGATATGATGGGAGTCTGATAGTGTCTCTAGGGGAACATCCAGGGCTCTGCAGGACTCTTACCATGGTTTACAGATTGTGACTAGACCCAGAAGATTCTCAAGGAACTGCACAGTAACTTTCAGGGCCAATGCTTGCCAGAAACAACTGAACAAGTCTACTGTATATATCTGGAGAGTGAACCAGACCACTGCTACTGGATCATAAAGTATCAAAGGAAGAATCAGGGATAAAGACTTCAGTTTGACTATACTTTAGTAGGGCCACAATAAAATGATGTTAGTTTGTGCACTTTTCAAATTGAGTGTTTTTGTATGGATGATGGCACCATATTTAAGTTGAGTGTTTTTCTATGAATGAAGCACCACATTTAAGTAGAATCCATCTACATCGCAGATATTTATTAACTTACATGAATGTGCTTGAGTGGGCATGAATAACTCAGACCTTCATCAGACCTTCTGATGAATTTTGAGGTTATTGGGGAAGTCTACTCCTATATAAACCCACCTTGGCATACATGATCACTGATATTTCTGTGGGTAATAAATTATCTTTGGCTCTGACCCAGAAGTCTCATGTCTTCTGCTAGTACCCAGGAAACTGTCAGCAGACTAACTTGTTAGCTTGCATACAGGGTAAAATCTGAGGACCTTTACAGTTTTTGATAGTTCTTTGGTCTGATGCAATGTTACTTGAGATCCCTTGCCAGTAAATCAAAGATCTTGTAAGCCTTCAAGACAACTTGAAGTACTGGCTGAGACCCTACAGGTAGAAGAGGCATGTATGAAATTAAAACCTATGTTTTTTTTTTCATTACAGGTTTCTATCTATTTGAGGTGTGACTGATAAAATATAGCTGTGTGCTTGAATGTATAGCTATTCCCCCAAGTGCGTATATGTTACTTCTGATTTTCGAGATACAGCTTATTGCCTTCACTAGTGGTCACAGCTTTGATATGCAAACCAGATAAACAATGCACATTAAATAAAATGTAGTTAATTTAACTTATAAGTATCAATGAAAAAATTAAAAAATATTTGAAATAAAATTCAACAATGTATTAAAAACTCATATACCATGATGAAGTAAGATCATTCTGGTAATGGAAATATGAATTAATATTAGGGGATCTAACAATATAATTAATCATATTAATAAAAGTAAGGAGCAAAATCATCTGATCATCTTCACAGATGCTGATAAGGCACTGTTCATATAAAAACACTCAATTAAAAAGGGATTGATTAGCTGAATCAATCAAGCAGAGGAAAGGATATTAGACATGGAAGATCAACTTACTGAAGTGAGGTGTGAAGACAAGATTTGAAAAGAAACAAAGCCTCCAAGAAATATGGGACTATCTGAAAAGACCAAATATAGGATTGACTGGGGTCCCTGAAAGTAACAGGGAGAATGCAACCAAGTTGAAAACACGCTTCAGGATATTATCCAGAACATCCCCAACCTAGCAAGACAGGCCAACGTTCAAATTCAAAAAATAGAAAGAACACCACTAAGACACTCCTTGACAAGAGCAACCCCAAGACACATAGTCATCAGATTCTCCAAGGTTAAAATGAAGGAAAAAATGTTAAGGGCAGCCAGAGAGGAAGGTCAGATTACCTACAAAGGGAAGCCCATTGGACTAAAAGTGGATCTCTGCAGAAACCCTACAAGCCAGAACAGAGTGGGGACCAATATTCAACATTCTGAAATAAAAGAATTTTCAACCCAGAATTTCATATCCAGCCAAACTAACCTTCATAAGTGAAGGAGAAATAAAATCCTTTACAGAGAAGCAAATGTTGAGGGATTTTGTTCCCACCAGGTCTGACTTACAAGAGCTATTTAAGGATGCACTAAATATGGAAAGGAGAAACTGGTATGAGCACTGCAAAAACACACCAAAATATAAAGACCAGTGAGACTATGAAGAGACTGCATCAACTAATGTGCAAAATAACCAGCTAGTATCATGATGATAGTATCAAACTCACACATAACAATATTAACCTTAAATGTAAATGGGCCAAATGCCCCAATTAAAAGACACAGAGTGGAAAATTGAATGACGAGTCAAGACCTATCAGTGTGCTGTATTCTTATGTGCAAAGACACACATAGGCTCAAAGTAAAGGGATGGAGAAAGATTTACCAAGCAAACGAAAAGCAAAAAAAAAGCAGGGGTTGCAATCCTAGTCTTTGATAAAACAGACTTTAAACCAACAAAGATCAAAAAAGACAAAGAAGGGCATTACGTAATGGTAAAGGGGTCAATGCAACAAGAAGAGCTAATTATCCTAAATGTATATGCACCCAATACAGGAGCACCCAGATTCATAAAACAAGTTCTTAGACACCTACAAAGACACTTAAGACTCCCACACAATAATAGTGGGAGACTTTAACACCCCACTGTCAATATTAAACAAATCAACAAGACAGAAAATTAATAAGAATATCCAAGACTTAAACTCAGCTCTGGACAAAGAGGACTTAATAGACATCTAAAGAACTCCCCACCCCAAATCTACAGAATATACATTCTTCTCAGCACCACATAGCACTTATTCTAAAATTGACCACCTAATTAGAACTAAAACACTCCTCAGCAAATGCAAAAGAATGGAAATCATAACAAACAGTCTCTTGGACCACACTGAAATCTAATTAGAACTCCGGATTAAGAAACTCACCCAACTGCACAAGTTCATGGAAATTGAACAACCTGCTCCTGAATGACTACTGGGTAAATAACGAAATTAAGGCAGAAATAACAAAGTTCTCTGAAACCAATGAGAACAAAGACACAATGTACCATAATCTCTGGGACATAGCTAAAGCAGCGTTCAGAGGGAAATTTATAGCACTAAATGCACACATCGGAAAGTGGGAAAGATCTAAAGTCAACACGCTAACATCACAATTAAAAGAACTAGAGAAACAAGAGCAAACAAATTCAAAAGCTGGCACAAGACAAGAAATAACTAAGATCAGACCAGAGCTGAAGGAGATAGAAACACGAAAAACCCTTAAAAAAATCAATGAATCCAGGAGCTGGTTTTTTTTTTTTTTTTGAAGACATTAACAAAATAGAACAGTAGCCAGAATAATAAAGAGGAAAAGAGAGAATAATCGAATAGACACAATAAAAAATGATAAAGGGGATATCATCACTGATCCCACAGAAATACAAACTACCACCAGAGAATACTATAAAAAGCTCTATGCAAATAAAATAGAAAATCTAGAAGAAATGGATAAGACTAAACCAGGAAGAAGTCGAATCCCTGAATAGACCAACAAGAAGTTCTGAAATTGAGGCAGTAATTAATAGCTTGCCAACCAAAAAAGCCCAGGACCAAAAGGATTCACAGCTAAATTCTACCAGAGATACAAAGAGGAGCTGGTACCATTCCTTCTGAAACTATTCCAAACAATAGAAAAAGAGGGACCCCTTCCTAACTCATTTTATGAGTCAGAGTCATCCTGATTCTGAAACCTGGCAGAAACAGACACACACACACACACACACAAATTTCAGGCCAATATCCCTGATGAACATCATTGTGAAAATCCTCAATAAGATACTGCCAAACCAAATCCAGCAGCACATCAAAAATCTTATCCACCACGATCAAGTTGGCTTCATCCCTGGGATGCAAGGCTGGTTCAACATACACAAATCAATACATGTAATCCATCACATAAACAAAGCCAATGACAAAAACCACATGATTATATCAATAGATGCAGAAAAGGCATTCGATAAAATTCAACACCCTTTCATATTAGAAACACTCAATAAACTAGGTATTAATGGAACATATCTCAAAATAATGAGAGCTATTTATGACAAACCCATAGCCAATATCATACTGAATGGGCGAAAGCTGGAAGCATTCTCTTTGAAAACTGGCACAAGACAAGGATACCCTCTCTCGCCATACCTATTCACATAGTATTGGAAGTTCTGACCAGAGCAATCAGGCAAGAGAAAGAAATAAATGGTATTCACATAGGGAGAGAGGAAGTCAAATTGTCTCTGCAGATGAAATGATTGTATATTTAGAAAACCCCTCATCTCAGCCCCAAAACTCCTTAAGCTAATAAAAAAACTTCAGCAAAATCTCAGGATACAAAATCAATGTACAAAAATTACAAACATTCCTATACACTAATAATAGACAAGCAGAAAGCCAAATCGTGAGTGAACTCCCATTCACAATTGCTATGAAGAAAATTAAATACCTAGGAAACAAGTTACAAGGGATGTGAATGACCTTTTCAGGGAGAACAACTACAAACCACTGCTCAAGGAAATAAGAGAGGACACAAACAAATGGAAAAACATTCCATGCTCATGGATAGGAAGAATCGATATTGTGAAAATGGCCATACTGCCTAAAGTAATTTGTAGATTCAATGCTATTTCCATTAAGCTACCATTGACTTTCTTCACCGACCTAGAAAAAACTACTTTAAATTTCATGTGGAACCAAAAAAAGAGCCTGCATAGCCAAGAGAATCCTAAGCAAAAAGAACAAAGTTCTGTAGACTTGTAGTACAGCATCACGCTACCTGACTTCAAAGTATACTACAAGTCTACAGTAACTAAAACAGCATGGTACTGATACCAACACAGATATATAGACCAATGGAACAGAACAGAAGCCTCAGAAATAACACCACACATCTACAACCATCTGATCTTCAACAAACCTGACCAAAACAAGCAATGGGGAAAGGATTCCCTATTTAATAAATGGTAGTGGGAAAACTGGCTAGCCATATGCAGAAAACTGAAACTGGACTCCTTCCTTACACCTTATACAAAAATTAACTCAAGATGTATTAAAGACTTAAACCTAAAACCTAAAATCATAAAAACCCTAGAAGAAAACCTAGGCATTATCATTCAGGACATAGGCATGAAAAAAGACTTCATGACTAAAACACCAAAAGCAATGGCAACAAAAGACAAAATTGACAAATGGGATCTGATTAAACTAAAGAGCTTCTGCACAGCAAAAGAAACTATGATCAGAGTGAACAGGCAACCTACAGAATGGGAAAAAATTTTTGCAATCTATCCATCTGACAAAGGGCTAATATCCAGAATCTACAAAGAACTTAAACAAATTTACAAGAAAAAACAAACAACCCCATCAAAAAGTGAGTGAAGGATATGAACAGACACTTCTCAAAACAAGACATTTATGCAGCCAAAAAACATATGAAAACAAGGTCATCATCACTGATCATTAGAGAAATGCAAATGAAAACCACAATGAGATACCATCTTACGCCAGTTAGAATGGTGATCATTAAAAGGTCAGGAAACAACAGATGCTGGAGAGGATGTAGAGAAATAGGAACGCTTTTACACTGTTGGTGGGAGTGTAAATTAGTTCAACCATTGTGGAAGACAGTGTGGCGATTCCTCAAGGATCTAGAGCTAGAAATACCATTTGACCCAGCAATCCCATTACTGGGTATATACCCAAAGGATTATAAATCATTCTACTATAAAGACACATGCACACCTATGTTTATTGTGGCACTGTTCACAATAGAAAAGACTTGGAATGAACCCAAATGCCCATCAATGATAGACGGGATAAAGAAAATGTGGTGCATATACACCATGGAATACTATGCAGCCATAAAAAAGAATGAGCTCATGTCCTTTGCCGGGACATGGATGACGCTGGAAACCATCATTCTCAGCAAATTAACAAAAGAACAGAAAACCAAACACTGCCTGTTCTCACTCAGGTGGGAATCAAACAATGAGAACACATGGAACAGGGAGGGGAACATCACACACCGGGGCCTGTTGTGGAATGGGGGACTGGGGGAGGGATAGCATTAGGAGAAATACCTAATGTAGAGGATGGGTTGATGGGTGCAGCAAACCACAATGGCACGTGTATACCTATGTAACAAATCTGCACGTTCTGCACATGTACCCCAGAACTTAAAGTATAATAATAATAAAAAAAGAAACAAGATCATAACAGAGATTGTGAATTACATTCTTTGTAAATATGCTGTGTTAGCATAGAGAAGTCCTCCCTCAACAAAACAATGGACTACATTATTTGGCTTGCAGGAAGTGAGGGATAACACCATGTGGGCAAAATTTTTTTAAATAACCAAATAAATACATAAGTAAATAAATAAATAAACTGAAACAGGAGTAGAGCCATAAACTCAAAGGGAAGATTGGTTGCCCCAAGAGCAAATGAAGCTCTCAGCCATACTCTCTGGAGCCTAAATTTGGAATCAGTTGTAAAGTGAGTTGTAGATTGAGGAATTTCTGGATTAAGCCAGAAATCTGAAAATGGGGTTGAAGTGGTCTCAGTTTAGTAGTACCAGCACCCCCTTGTCAGTTCCTGATAAAAATGTACACAAATCTTCTCTGGAGTAAAGCCACCTTGATTTCAATCCCAAGGATTTCCATACTTAAGTTCACAATCAAAGACTGTGAATGTAATTCCAGAAAAGAAATCACCAAAAGTGAGAGTCAGCAAAAAATAAAAAACAAACCAAAAGAACCAACATCAGATTTATATGCTGTATCAATTAGATTAGGCCAGATTACCTTGCAGTAACAAACACTTCCCAATTCTCATGGCTAAACGCTGAGCTGATTGATCCCTGGCTCAGTCAACTGCAGGTCTGGGCAACTCTCCAGAGTCAGCTTGCAGAAGATGGAAATGATTAAAATTCAAAATAGATGGTTAATTTCAATTATGGGTGGAGTAATAACATTCTAAATACTTTCTAAACACTTAGGCAATGGAATGGTAAAGATCAACACATGACTTTTAAGAATTAATTAAGTGGCTGGGCGTGGTGGCTCACACCTGTAATCCCAGAACTTTGGGAGGCCGAGGTGGGCAGATCATGAGGTCAGGTGATCGAGACCATCCTGGCTAACACAGTGAAACCCCATCTCTACTAAAAATACAAAAAATTAGCTGGGCGTGGTGGTGGGCACCTGGAGTCCCAGCTACTCAGGAGGCTGAGGCAGGAGAATGGCGTGAACCCAGGAGGTGGAACTTGCAGTGAGCCAAGACCGCACCACTGCACTCCAACCTGGGCGACAGAGCGAGACTCCGTCTCGAGAAAAAAAAAAAAAAAAGAATTAATCATGTTACACCAGGCGCGGTGGCTCACGCCCATAATCCCAACACTCTGGGAGGCCGAGGTGGGCAGATAACTTGAGGTCAGGAGTTTGAGACCAACCTGGCCAACATGGTAAAACCCCGTCTGTATTAAAAATACAAAATATTAGCCGGGTGTGCGGACGCCTGTAATTCCAGCTATTTGGGAGGCTGAGGCATGAGAATCGCTTGAACCTGGGAGGATGAGGTTGCAGTGAACTGAGATCACACCACTGCACTCCAGCCTGGGTGACAGGATGACATTCTGTCTCAAAAAAAAAAAATTAATTGTGTCAGGGTATTTACAGAATAATTTAAGTAGAACATTAAAAGATATATATATGTACACACACACATACTATGTAACAATTTTAATAAATACACCATGATTATCAACCAGAACAGAACCAAAGAAAATTAGAACTATTATAGTAGATTGAGTGGAATTTTTTTAGGGAATCTTAACATTTTAAAATCATGTGGTAACAATATCATCACCTATGCTCCTATGTTCTGAATTTCTTCCTTCAATGGCTTCCCTTTAGCCACAGTTATCAGATCTGTCAGTAAAGTCCTAGAAAACATGTTTTTGAGGATGCTGAGGTGTTTTCTCCCTTGGCCTGTGTTTAAAATATTGTTCTTCCCCCATAACAAGTGCTCTCTTTAATCCTACATTTTAGACATTCTTTTGTATTTTCCCTTTTCTTATAGTGCAGATCTTCTAGAAGCTGTAACAATTGTAATTACCAATGATTCATGCCTTAGAGGTAATGAGTGTCAGACCTTGTCCTGAGAGAAACTATTAAAGGAAGGAGAGGTTGGGGAAGAAAGGAGACAATGACTGTTTGCCCCAATACTGAGGCATAGAAGTTCCCTGGGGAAGAGGTGGGGTTCAGAAAAGAGAGATCAGGGAAAGTCACTCCTCCTGACACAAATCTTTCTGAGGCATCTGCCTCTTTTTAAGCTCTGAGTTCTAGTTATCCTGGCTCAGGATAAAAATAATCCCACCACTGGTATCCTCCCTTTTTCTACTTCCGAGGCTGCAAAGTGCAACAGCAGACTCTTCTGACTCAGGAAGGCCGGTGCTCCTACCCACTTCCTGTTCCTCCATCTCCAGCGGACACTGCTCTTTCAAGGGCAGGTCTCCAGCCCAGCTCTCTGAAAACATTTTGCTGAAAATATAAGCAAACATCGGCCTTGTCCTCCTTGTGTTCATACACTGTGGAAGCTTTTCTCTGCCTCCTCCGTGAGAGTGCGTGGCCGGGAGACCAGAAACGTGGTCCTTTCTCTTGCCTGTGAGCTGGTGCAGAGGTAAGTCTGAGTATTTGTGCGTGTCATATTTGGATGTGTATGTGTGGGTGTTTGTGTTGTACATGTGTGTTTACATGTTTGTATGTGTTAACATGAATGTGTGTGAGTGATGTTTGTGTGTGTGATGTTTGTGTTGTGTGTGTATGTGAGTGTTGTGTGTGTGTTGTGTATGTATATTTGTGTTTGTGTATGTGTTTGTGTGTTCACCTGCATGTGTGTGAGTGGTACATGTGTTTTGTGTATGTGTGTGTGTTGTGTATTTGTGTGTGCTGTGGTGTGTGCAGGTTTGTAATGTGATAAAAAGAGCTGTGACCAACACGTCTGGAGAACTTTTTGCCTTGTGACAAAGTCACTGTTTAATATTTGGCAAGATGCTTCTCTGAGTTTTGCTTTCTTCCAGAGCAATATGACAAGGATGGTACTATCTGTTCCATCTTCTGTGTTGGAGACAATGCACACTGTGGCCAACATGGGAGGTGCCATTCCGGGGAGGGTCTAGGAGGAGGCAGGGAGGTGCCTTGCGTGCAGACCCATTCCCCGAACCCTGCGAAGGCACAGTGCAGGTTCCTGCATGCCACAGCCTAGTCCCACCCGGCTGTTGTTTCCTGTTAAGCTGCCTGCCCGTTCTCTCTAAAGGAGGAATGAGATTACATTGGTAAAGTGCTGCCTCAATTTCCACCAGGGATGTAAGGAAGCCAGGGACAAAGAGATTGAGAGGCCACCAGTTAGGAAGAACTAACTCCCTTTGGTAGGTGAAATATTGTACTCCTTCCAGAATCTGGCTGTTCAGGTCTGAGTAAGGCTGTCCGCCTGGCCTGCTTCTTCTTTCTTCCTAGAAAGTCAACAGACCTTCCTGGACTCCCTCCATGCCCAGCCCAGCACTGCAAAATTGATCTTTACCAATCATAAAGCAATATCCGCATATATACTTCTGGGATCTGGGGAGGACTGGAGTGTTTGCCAGGTGAACAGAATAGAACAAACATCTAACAATGTGGCAATGAGAAAAACATGTCTATCAGGTTCCCCTGGACTTAGGTTTCCCCACACCCCAGACCCTTCATCTGGATCTGTTTCATCTGGTTGTGAATGTCCTACATGATCTGGAAAAACAGTCATGGACCATGCAACTTCCTCCTCAGTCCCACAGAGAAAATCCAGCAGAGAGAACCTTATGGGATCTTGGCACAGAGAACTGTGTTAGTCTATGAAGCCAGGACACATTGCTGTCATGGGAAAGGGGACAGGAGTTCCTGGTTGGGAATGATGTGGCCCTAATTTGCAAAAAGGACTAAGAATTGCTCTAAAAAATGTTATGAAGTATGTTGAGACCTTAATAGGGGAAGAGACATTCACAGGCATCTAGTTCAGGCCCAACATTCTTACTGATGGGATGCTGAGGCCCAGACAGAGCTAACTGGTGGCTGCTTCTCCCCTGAGGTCTCTGGCTTCCTTCCCAGCTCAGCCCCTGCAATCCCAGTCCTCTGTAACCCTCACTGCACAGTCTTCTCCAAAGTCTGGCCCCAAGGCCCACCAAGTGGCCCCTCCCAACAACATCCTACTCATTCACGTCCTCCAGGCACACCAGGCCTTCCTGCTGCTCCCAGGGAACACAGGATCAGAATCACACCTGCTTCTGTGCTTCCCTTCCTCCACCTCCTCCTTCTTCCCTTCCTCCACCTCCCCCCACCTCCCAGAACAGTTCCAGACCCTTTGTCTATCCAAATTTCATCCATTCCTCAGCTCCCAGGCCAGTTGCACCTTTATCTGTAAAATCTCTTAAACTTATGATGGAGACCACAATGAAGGGGGCGAGGGATAGCATCCCTAAAGAAATAGGGTCCCTAAAGCCAGCAGAGAGTGTCTTAGACCCCTTCTTCCATTGCCTCACTCAGTCCCACCCCAACCCTAAACTAATGCAAAAAACTTTCCTCTGGCAAGAGAAAGGCGAAAGGCAGGTGGCTGTTGAAACTCATTTGGAAAGTCAGTAGAACATATGATTTTTTTTTTTTTTTTTTTTTTGTAGATGGAGGAAGAAGAATATGAACAAATTCCCCAGGAGAATCCCCCAGAAGAGCTGTCCCAGGATCCTGTGCTGGAGCTGTCAGGAGGTAAAATGAATGAGGAGAGGGGAGCAAGTGGGAAACATTTGGGGTGCAGGTGGGACACAGCTCCACCACCATAGTGTGCTTGGAGAGGAAGCTGACGTCCCCCAGTCACAGAAATTTACCCGCCTCAGCCACCATCAGAGGCCTTTGGGGTAGGGCCCTTCTTATCACTAGCCAAAAATAAGAAAAAAGACCCCTGGATAGGTATGGTAGATAAAAGGAGGCGAGAAATAGCACCAATGACTAAATCACCATGCCAGTCCCAAAGGAAATGCTTTCACATGGTAGATGTTCTTCCTCAGGATGGATGTGCTGACAGTGCGTGTGACGAAAATAAGTGGCCTTGGACTGAGGCTTGGATGCCAACAGACCCTGTATGGGTGTTTGGCTGACTCCGAAGTGGAGCTGTCACAGTTGTAAGTTTGAAAGCGCCTTGTGCACAAGCAGAATGTACTTGGCTGCTGCCTCAGATCTGGGCTCTGCCTTATCGAGGGCGTCCCTTTCCCAAAAGCCATTGCACAGGGTCAGGCGCTTAACTTTCATGGGCTCAACTTCGTCATTCATCCTGGGGAGGCAGGATTTACAAATGCTGGAAACCCAGCCCTTTCCTGGCCAGAAGAAATGATTTGTGATTCATTATGTATTTTAATATGAATGACCTTTTACTTTATGAACTTAAATGGCCTGAGCCATCTGGAAAAAGCCACGTTAACCTACTACAATAGGGACATTACCAATACCTGTGTAACACCTGTTTGACCTTTTGTTATAGCAATCAAGGTTAGCTATTCTTTTAAGAATCCTCTCCAGAGCTCAAGTGATGCATTTGGCTTTAGTAAAGTCCAGTGGTGTGTGCTAGCTCCAGGCTGCTCAGATGGGGGTTCCTGTCTCCTCTGGCTCTGCACTGGGCTAGGTGGGTGGGGATGAAGATCTACTGCCCAGACTTCTGCCCATTCATTCAAATTCCTTCCAGCCACCTTGGGGAAGCTGGAGGGGGCCCAATGTCACTCAGTTAGAATTGGCACGTGGGTCAGAGCCAAGGGTGGCTGTCAGGCCACAGCAAGGCCTGTTGGTGCCCAGGAGATTCAGGAGATGGCCACGCCCATGCTGCCACATGCCAGCTTCATGCTTTGTCATCTGAGATACATCAATGTCTTCAGTGGGGACAAGACTGGGAAACCAGCTATTACTTGTCACTTCTTTATGTGCTCTGGGTCTTGGGACCCGCAAGGCCAGGAGAAGGGAATTCCCTTCCTGCCTTCTTCCCCAGTCATATCTAAAAACCTTGGTATTGGGTTTCTTGGTGTTCTATTGGCCAAGTCTCGCTCTTCTTTCTAGGCTCTGCTCTTGCACTGGGAGAGAACGTTCAGCCCCACCTTCAAGGATGTGGGCCCAGAATGGTGGCCCAGCGCTGGTTTCAGGGCAGATGTTGGTCTTTTACAATCTGCCCCTGCAGTCTGGGGGTACACCCAGAGGCTCCTGGTGATGACAAGATGGGGTACATGGGCCCTTACCCCAGTTCCCTCTGCTTTCTTTGGATATTTCTAGGTCTAAGGGAGAAAGAACAGAAGACCCCAAGGAGACTGAGGCTCATTCTCATGGGGAAAACAGGGAGTGGGAAGAGTGCAACAGGAAACAGCATCCTCGGCAGGGACGTCTTCGAGTCTAAACTCAGCACCAGACCCGTGACCAAGACCTCCCAGAGACGGAGCCGAGAGTGGGCTGGGAAGGAGCTTGAGGTGATTGACACACCCAACATTCTGTCCCCCCAGGTCTCGCCAGAGGTGGCAGACGCTATCTGCCAAGCCATCGTCTTATCCGCCCCAGGGCCCCACGCCGTGCTCCTGGTGACACAACTGGGCCGGTTCACGGATGAGGATCAGCAGGTGGTCAGGCGCCTGCAGGAGGTCTTTGGAGTGGGGGTTCTGGGTCACACCATCCTGGTGTTCACCCGGAAGGAAGACCTGGCTGGCGGCTCCCTGGAAGACTATGTGCGAGAGACCAACAACCAGGCCCTTGCCTGGCTGGATGTGACCCTTGCACGGCGCCATTGCGGCTTCAACAACAGGGCACAGGGGGAGGAGCAGGAGGCCCAACTGCGAGAGCTCATGGAGAAAGTTGAAGCCATTATGTGGGAAAACGAAGGAGATTATTACAGCAACAAGGCTTACCAATATACCCAGCAAAACTTTCGGCTGAAAGAACTACAGGAAAGGCAAGTAAGCCAGGGCCAAGGCTCTGAGGACGTGCCTGGTGAGGAGTCTTGGCTGGAAGGACTGTCCCAGATCCAGAAGGAATCTGAGGAAGCCCACAGATGCCTGCTGGGGAAGGCTGACCTTTGAGCCTGTGCTGGACTTGAGCCAAGGACACCATCAGCCTTTGCACCCCCCTGTGTCCAGCCCTCTGTTTCTCTTTCCATCCCATGGAGTGCTTCCCAGTCTCCAGGTCATGACGTCTGGTGTAGGAAGAGGGGCATGGGGCTTGAGGACAGGGTCCAGCATGCCCAGATCACATTCCAGTTCCTTCATTCCTTCTTCCAGAACATCTGGGTCCTCCCTCCTCTGTGCCCCAACAGCACGCTGTCTTCCTATTGGACCTTCTATCTCATTGCATTGCCTTTCATGAGTTACTTGTCTATACTCTGATAGAACCAAAGTTTCTTGAGGGCAGGCCTGTATCTTTTACTTCTGTGTAACTTCCACAGCTTTTGACTGCATTGGAGTCATGCAGTCACGTTTGGTGCGGCAACTCCATGCAAGCTGTTGACCAGATGACTTCTCATCTCTCCCCACACCATGATGGTTTAAGGTGCCTGTTGTGTCTGGTGGCTGGAACATGGCAGTGGTGCTGAGACATGGGGAGGGTTGGAGACTGGGTGGGGAGGGTTGGAGACTGGGCTGGGAGGAGAGCAAGCAGGAACAGGGATGGAGGCAGGAGGAGCAGCCCTTTTATTCACTCTTGAGCTGTAACAAACAAGCCCCGTTGGAACTTCCTAGTGGGAATGATGGGAGAAGTTTGGGGCAGGGTATCCAAGAAGTCAGACTGTGGTCAAGTAGGTGGTCCCTTGCCCTGGCTACAGAACATGGAAGCCCCTAGGGATGCAAGTGGACTTGGGCAGAGGAGGTCACACCACCCCACCAAGGTAGACTTAGATTAGAGATGACTTGCATCTGTTACTTCCCCTTTTTCCATGGGTTTCATGGCCCCTCATGATATTTGCCTTCTGCTCCTAGAAGGCACAGACTACTTTCAACCTGCCTCGCCCTTCACTGCCACCCCTCCCTTCTCCCTTGATAATGGGAGCATGTGGATGGGGTGTCTGCGTGTGCAAACGGGTTCCCTAGCAAAGTATTTGTGGGGGTCCAATGCAAGGAGGCAGGGAAGAAAGGGGGCCTGCAAAGGAAGCAGTAGAGTGACTTAAACATCTTGCGAGGCAGCCTGCCTGGTTTATGGGAGAACTCTGAAGCCCATGATGTTTTCCTGGAAGGCTGTTCCTACAGACGGGGTTTATAAGTACTGATACTGGACAGGATGAGAAGGGAGTAGGATGTCATCCTGTCTCAGGCCTCGGATAGGAAGCTGCCTGCCAGCAAGAGGAGACTGATGTGCCCCGGGTGCACCCCACCTCCTTTGAGGTCCAAGATGCTCCTGGGGAGTTGACCGACATTTGGGAAGATAATAGGAGGCATTGGGGAAACTGCTCCCCAATATATTCCTCTTTTCCTTTCTTCAAGCTGCGTAGCAGGGGGCCTTTAGCTAGTTTCTCCCGAGAGGGGCGGGAAGTACAGCTGGTGGAGACAGTGCTGGGAGATGATCAGAAATCTCAGGGCACAGCCTCAGGTCTACCTGGACACTCATCCACTGTTGGAGATGCTCAACAGCTAGACACAGATGCTCACAGCCGACCTGTGGCCTCTTGCTCTGAAGCCATCCCCCATCTTCCCTAGACACAGCAGACATCTGAGAAAGCTTCAGCATTTCTCTTGCTAACAGATTCAGAAAAGTGTCTCAAAGCAGAGCACAGAGTTATTTGGTGTTTGCTGAAGACAGCCTTTGTGCCACAATCACTTATTAAATAAGCGATCAATTTCCCATTGAACTGAACATGCAACATTTATCATACATTCAGTTCTCATTCACACTCCTTAAGATTTGGTCAGAATTTTTATTTCTGTTCATGTCTTCTACTTTTCTACTCCTGTATGAATAAAATATTGATTTGATTACAGTGGCTTTGACTATAATGTGGGAGCCAATTTTTGCCTCAGTCTTCATTTTTATATTTACCTTGTTATTCTCAGGCATTTTTTTCTTCTATGTGAGAGTTAAAATCATTCTGTAATTTCCCCCCAAAATCATATTGGTATTCTAGTTGGCAATGTCTTACATTTATGTTAAGTTTGAGGGAATTGGTAGTTCAAGTATAAGTTAATTAAGGCCATTTTATTTCTAAGTGAACAGACTTGAAACTCCAGAGCTACTGAAGTAAAAGTTAGAATCATTTGCATTTTCATTCAGATAGGAGATAATTTTGTAAATTTTGATGCTATTATTTTAACTCTATTAGCTTAAGTAATGTCATAATAGAAAACACAAGCATTTGACCAAATGAGATCCATTCAGCGACTAACTGGCAAGGCACTCAAAACATGTCATTCATTAAATGTTGTTTTTATTTACCTCAAATATGGTGTTTTCTCTCTTTTATTGCTAAGCACCAGGAAAGATATCTCCCATGACATTTCAGGAATAGGGATAGATGTCTCTGCATAGCTCTCACTCTTTCAGCTTCAGAGGAGAATGGGGAAAGCATGTGTGGGTATGTTCTAGAAACTCTAGTCTATCAACCAGTAAGAAATTAGTGGTGGGGGGTGATGGTGATGAGAGAGGGTTGTCTTGGCCAAAGCTGTGATAATAGCAGCTTTTAGAGTTTGTTAAAAATATCTCTACACTAAAGTGAAGGATGAAAAACAGGGATTTGGAGAATTTGAGCTAAGTCAGTACAGGGTTTTTCCTCCTTGGTGGATCAAAGCAGGTGTGGAGTGTTACAGAAAGATTCCAGCCTCTAACCTTTTTGTGATAACATTTATAAAGTGCATAGAAAATTCAAAATTATAATACTAAGAAAATAACTTTGAAGGCATGGGAAATGGCTAAATGCAGGTAGACACTCATGCAGAGAACCTGACCCCTAAGATGAGGGGACCACACTAGTCTCATCTTGGTGTGACTTTTCACATTAAGGCAGTATTCAGTCGTGTGGATGCAGACATGGCACACACCAGATGTTCACAGTGGCCTGGAGGGTGGGAGGGTGGAGCCTGGGACAACCAGAGCAGGTAAAAATTTACATGGGAGCTCCCCAAAATAAAAGAGCTGCAGAGCGGGGAGATGGAGTGGTGGGGATTTGCGGGCTGGGTACCAAAAGCTCTGCATTTCTCCCTTCAAATCCTTGGCTGACCCTGAACTGTACAAGCACAGGGCACTCTCCAGAGGATCCCAGGAAAACTTCTGTGGAGGTTGAAAGAGCTGATCAGAGATGTCAGCAGTTGCCCACAGTAGCAAAGAGAATTGCAAGTTCCAGTCCATCAAGTTAGAAGACCTTGGTAAACTTGTATATTTCCACTGAAATACCAAAAGGATCATATTTTAGGAGTAAGTACTGCATCTCAGCACTGAGAGACTTGCCCTAGAAGGAAGAGCAAATTAAAGCAAACCCTTGCTAATGATGTCTAAAATCAAGCCTTCCCAAGGCAAAAGCGATCCACCAGTAATTTAAGTGCCCGTTGGAACAAACTCAATATTCTGCAGAAGATATAATATCCAAAGCCTCTACAACATGTTACCTACAATATCCTTTACCTTACTAAAAATTCTTCTTTTCGAACATATAAATATAGAGATATAAAATGTCCTTCTGTGCATGTTTATCTGTATCTCACACATTTTTATCTTTTTTTTTTTTGAGACAGGATCTTGCTCTGTTGCCCAGGCTGGTGTGCAGTGGCATGATCATGGCTCACTGAAGCCTCAACCTCCTAGGCTCAAGCAATTCCCCCACCTGAGTTTCCTGTGTACCTGGGACCACAGGCATGCATCACCACACCCAGCTTAATTTTTTAGTTTTTGTAGAGATGGGGTCTCACTTTGTTGTCCAGGCTGGTCTCAAACTCCTGAGCTCAAGCAATCCTCCTGCTTCAGCCTACCAAAGTGGTGAAATTACAGGCATGAGCCACCACGCCTGGCCCACATTTTAAAATATTCTATTTTCACTATCGTTCTTTTAAAATACTTTCTATATTTCTTGTGCTGTCTTTTTTCACTCATGGATTATGTAGAAGTGTGTATTAAAATTCCACGTTTGAATATTTTCTAGAAACGACAGTATCCAATAAGGTAGGTATTATCCACATGTGGCTACTGAGCACTTAATATATAGGGGTACACCTGAGAAACTAAATTTTAAATTTTATTCAGTTGTCATTACTTTTAAATTTTGAAACAGTGTAAAATATTTTACCATGAAACACAACTTTACTATTTTGGTGGAAATACCTTTACCTCTAACTGTTGCCTCACTTAAGATATTACAGATCATCCCTGACTTATGAGGGTTTGACTTAGGATTTCTTGACTTGATGATGATATGAAAGTTCTGTGCATGCAGTAGAAAGCCATGTGACACCCTCTCACGAAGCTCAGCTGTGGCAGTGAGCTGCAACTCCCAGTCAGCACGCGATTACTCTGGTAAACAACTGCTACCCTACAGTGTACTGTTGCCAAGCTATAATGACCAGCAGGTTAGGTTTATTGAGTGCATTTTAGACTTTCAATATTTCACCTTACAATGGGTTTATCAGGACGTAACTCTGTTGTAAGTTGAGAAGCATCTGAGCCAGGCATGGTGGCTCACGCTTGTAATTCCAGCACTTTGGGAGGCTAACACTGGAGGATAATTGGCCCAGGATTTCAAGACCAGCCTGGGCAACATGGTGGAACCCCATCTCTTAAAAAAAAAAAAAAAGAAGTAAAAGAAAAAATCTGAAAATAGAGATGTATCTGTATTGGACTGCAAATGTGTTGCCACATGGATTGTTTTCAGCACCATGTATAAATATATCCCTGATCTAGTCAGTGTCAATGGATTGATTCAATTTGAATAATTTTTTATCAGGACACAATATCTTTATTTGAATATTTTATGTAGATAGCATGAGTTATAGTTACACCTATCTATATTGTTAATGATAATTAAAATTAAATGCTAATTATTATTTTATTTATAATACAATTAAATTACTTTTTAGCTTAAAATAAGTATAGCCAAGTTTTAATTTTGAAGTGAAGGTATAATGCTGATGCAGAATTGAATGGAGATGATTAAGCTAGTGCTACAATTAGAACAGGAAAGAGAACTATAGATTAGCAGAAGACATGTTGCAAATTTCATGATTAATAGTAATTATAATACGCCACAGTACAGCAAAAGAAAACACACACCTTTTTTGTTGTGTTAAAAAAATGGAAAGATAATGGAGTGTACTATTATGAAGAGACATTTTCAGCAGATACATAGGGTGCTTGATAAAAAGCTTTCTCTCAACAATCAAAAACAGAATTGACAAAGTTAGTCACCTGGAGCCAGAATTAAACATCCAACAACGAAAAACTAAAGATGTTTTAACAGGATCTGAGCTTATGACTGACAGCAATAAAACTTGGATTATTGCACACACACAAAACAACATTTTTAGTTGGAGAGAAGGTACAATAAATTATTACTTCAGTTACAGAAAATTTTGTTGGAAAACGTGGCAGAAAAAAACTTAAAAAATTAAATGTATAGGAAACATGAAAAGTCTTCCATTAAGGCACCAAAAAATGCCCACAGAGGCAAGACTTTTTAAATAATAACAAAGACTAATTGAGCTAACATTGGAAAATTCACAAGTATTTTTCTTGAGCACTAGATGAGAAGTGTGATGTAAGACACTGTCTTACAAAGACTTTGGCAATGTTTAGTCTCAAAATATTCAAAATTTGTGAGGTATGTAAATTCAAGACAAAAATATGAATTAGTGGTATAGATTATCTTAAAGTATTTTACACTTGTCAAATAAGAATTTTAGCTAGATATTTGGCACAAATCCCTTGTGATATAAGTAGTCTCATTTTCATATTTTATAACCCAGGACTACTGGGGTCTGTTATTTCTGAAAATTATGTTGCCTCCATGTTTTCCAAAGAGCATTTCATGTTCCTCTGCTGATACAGAGGAGTCAATTAGGAAAACTGAAGCACATTTAGGTATTAAAAGTAGGATGTACTTTCCATCCAGGGAACTAGAGACTGTCACATGCTTTGGAGAGCTGGGGATGCACAGGCCTGGGGAAGCTCATTGGTGCACGGAGCTGGTGGCTTTCAGATGCTCCTTTGCTGTAACATGCATCTGTGGTTCACCCATTGTGTCTTTGCTGTCACTGCCAGAGAATGATTCTCCTTCTTTCTCATCCACCTCCCAAATCTCACCTGAGTGCCTCTTGTTGGCTGACTGTCATATGGTCCATATGGGGAAAGGGATGACAAGAAATGTCATCCCAGGCTCTTTATCTGTGACTCAGAGAACTTAAGAGAATTAGTGATACTGCATTTATAACAGACACTTTGGCACAGCTAAATAATTCAACATCAACATTCATCTTGTTAAAGCAAAATTAAAGTGGAGAGTGGGCCTGAAAATGTTCTGAGCAAACAAAACCAACCAACTAGGCATTAAAAATAGCTTTAATGTTGCTTAAATTCAAAACATAAGCAAAACTTAACTTGGGTTATTTCTGGTAAACTAATTTAACTTGAGTCATTTCTGTCTTTCTTAGACAGAAACAAAACCTAATCTCAGTCATTCATAAGCAGCCAATCAACATATGATTATGTGACTATGAACTTTCCAGCAAGGTAAAGAGAAAAGGTAAATTCATAACAGCAACCAATCAAATAATTTTTAAATTCTGCTTCTGCATTCATCCTATAGATACTTGCCTCTGATGCTTTGTCATCAGCGTGCTGAACCTCTTTTGGTTTGTGTGTTTACCAATTCATGAATTGCTTGTTACTCAAATAAACTTGAAAATTTTGTTGTGCCTTGGTTTTTACCAGTTTGGTGTCAGAAATCAGATCTGAAGGATCCCCTTGTAATCCCCAGATGCAGTCAGTAACCAGGCATAGGTACTTGCTGAGTCCATTGTGCTAATTTCTTGCTGCATCTAGAGGTTATGGGTAAGTCCCTCTCAGATTTTGTATTTTGCATCCTGCGTTTGCATCCTGAGCTCTCTGCATTTTGCATCCTGAGCTCTCTAAGTTTATTCGAGAAGTTTTGTTTCTGAATGGATCCAGGGTTGAGCTGAGTGATTGACAGGAACTGGACCAGGTCCAGTGTAGTGTACACTAGCTTCCAGACTAGGTCTAACCAAAATCTGGGTTGGATTTCAAAGGTTGAACTGTGTTTTCAACAGGAACTGGACCGGTTCCAGTTAAGGGCCTCTGGTAAGTAGAGTTTTAGAACAGAGAATTATGTGTTCATCAAAATCTAAGGAGTCTGGGACTCCTCTGTCTGTAACTCCAATGCATTTTAGGTTTAAAAATTACGGACCCAGAACCTGTGCATTTCTAGAGAAATGAGTGCATCTCAGGAAGATAACTTAGAGTTACAGTGGCCACAATGAGAAAGTTTTAATGTAGATGAAATTTTTTATCTATGAGTACATTAGGAAAAAAAGGGCGGGGCGGGGAAATCCCAAATGGCTCAAATACAATGAGATACATTTTTTGATTTGTGTACAAAGGATTCCAAAAGACAGAATGACTCAGAAAATTGCCCTTTAAGGAAATCTTTGCAGTGTGCTAATAGAAAACTATTCTGAACCTACTAACCTCTTTGATCTCTTGTCTTTTCCATCTGAACCTCATCAATACCAACTTCCTTAAAAAATTAGATCTTCAAATGAGTCAGGGGTATGTAGAACAACTAAATTTAACTTTTGGTCTCATACACACTCCCAAGCTATGGTAAAAGCATCCACCTAAGAATAAAAAGAAGAAAGACTAATTGGAAATACACTGGATGTCTCCTCAGTCACTCACGTAAAATGTAATCTGCAGTCTCAATAAGATTGACTTCTGATAATAGGCAAATATGTCCCAAAACTCCTGGAGAAAACATAACATCCTTCCTCTGTGCCTTTGAGATGTCTAAATCTTCTAAATGCAAGCATCAGAGAAATCATTCACAAGTAGGGAAAAAAAGAGGAAACTTTTAGAAATAAACAGACAAATAGAAAACATTTTATGCCCTTTCCACAAATATTAATTAAAGTCTTGAGCCATCTGAACAGGTAACTTTAACTGTCAAGAACATAGTTTGAACCCAACTAATGAGTTTTACATTATTGTGCCTGATACATGACTAAACCTTTAGAACAGATGCCACGACTCTATTTGCATCTGTTCGTATATTTATATACGTCTACATATGTGTATGTTATTTGTATGTAATTTTATTCTACCTATGGTTAATATTATTAGAAATAATATTAAAATTACTACATTTAATTGGGTATAGTCATGCACTGCATCGTGTCATTTTGATCAATTAAGGGCTGCATATACTACAGTGGCTTCATAAGGTTATCATGAGACTAAAAAATTCCTATCACCTAGTAGCTATTGAATGTCATAGTGCAACACATTATTCACATGTTTGTGGTGACATTGGTGTGAAAAGCTGCCAGTCATATAGAACATACAATTATTTACAGTACATAATACTTGATTGTAATAATAAATGACTATGTTACTGGTTTATGTATTTACTATATTTTAAATCATTGTTTTAGAGTATACTCCTTCTACTTATAAAAAAAGTTAATTGTAAATAGCCCCTCAGGCAGGTTCTTCAGGAGCTATTCCAGAATAAGTCATTGTTATCACAGACGATGGCAGTTCAATGTGTGCCATTGCCCCTGAAGAACTTCCAGCGGGAAAAGGTATGGAGGTGGAAGACAATGAAATTCATGATCCTGACCATGTGTAGGCCTAAGCTAATGTGTGTGTTTGTGCCTTAGTTTTTAACAAAAAGTTTGAAAAGTAGAAAAAGACAAAAGCTTATAGAATAAGAATATTTTAAAATTTTTTGTGCAGTTGTTCAATGTGTTTGTGTTTTAAATTGTGTTATTACAAGAGCTAAAAATTTAAATAAAAAGTTTAGAAAATAAAAAGGTTACAGTAACCTAAGTTTAATTTAATTGAAAATGGACCCCTTCCTTACACCTTATACAAAAATTAACTCAAGATGAATTAGACTTAAACATAAGACCTAAAACCATAAAAACACTAGAAGAAAACCTAGGCTATTAATACCATTCAGGACATAGGCATGGGCAAAGACTTCATGACTAAAACACCAAAAGCAATGGCAACAAAAGCCAAAATTGACAAATTGGATCTAATTAAACTAAAGAGCTTCTACTCAACAAAAGAAACTATCATCAGAGTGAACAGGCAACCTACAGAATGGGAGAAAATTTTTGCAATCTATCCATCTGACAAAGGGCTAATATGCAGAATCTACAAGAGACTTAAACAAATTTACAGGAAAAAAACAAACAACCCCATCAAAAAGTGGGTGAAGGATATGAACAGATACATTTCAAAACGAGACATTTATGCAGCCAACAAACATATGAAAAAAAGCTCATCATCACTGGTCATTAGAGAAATGCAAATCAAAATCACAATGAGATACCATCTTACACCAGTTAGAATGGTGATCATTAAAAAGTCAGGAAACAACAGATGCTGGTGAGGATGTGAAGAAATAAGAATGCTTTTACACTGTTGGTGGGAGTATAAATTAGTTCAACCGTTGTGGAAGACAGTGTGGTGATTCCTCAAGGATCTAGAACCAGAAATACCATTTGACCCAGCAATCCCATTACTGGGTATATATCCAAAGGATTATAAATCATTCTACTATAAAGACACATGCACATGTATGTTTATTGCAGCACTATTTACAATACCAAAGACTTGAAACCAACCCAAATGCCCATCAGTGATAGACAGGATAAAGAAAACATGGCCCATATACACTATGGAATACTATGCAGCCATAAAAATGGATGAGTTCATGTCCTTTGCAGGGACATGGATGAAGCTGGAAACCATCATTTTCAGCAAACTAATGCAAGAACAGAAAACCAAACACTGCATGTTCTCACTCATAAATGAGAGTTGAGCAATGAGAACACATGGACACAGGGAGGGGAACATCACACACTGGGGCCTGTAAGGGGGTGCAGGGCAAGGGGAGGGATAGCATTAGAAGAAATACCTAAAGCATGCGGGGCTTAAAATCTTAAATGTAAATGGGCTAAATGCCCCAATTAAAAGACACAGACTGGCAAACTGAATAACGAGTCAAGACCTATCAATGTGCTGTATTCAGGAGACCCATCTTAAGTGCAAAGACACACATAGACTCAAAATAAAGGGATGGAGGAATATTTCCCAAGCCAATGAAAAGCAAAAAAAAAAAAAAAAAAAAAAAGAAAAGCAGGGGTTGCGATTCTATTCTCTGATGAAACAGACTTTAAACCAACAAAGATAAATAAAGACAAAGAAGGGCATTACATAATGGTAGATGGATCAATGCAACAAAAAGAGCTAATTATCCTAAATATATATGCACCCAATACAGGTTGGACAGATCAATGAGACAGAAAATTAACAAGGATATCCAGGACTTGAACTCAGCTCTGGACAAGCAGGCCTAATAGACATCTAAAGGACTCTCCACCCCAAATCTATAGAATATACATTCTTCTCAGCACCACATAGCACTTATTCTAAAATCGACCACATAGTTGGAAGTAAAACACTCCTCAGCAAATGCAAGAGAACAGAAATCATAACAAACAATCTTTCAGACCACAGTGCAATCAAAATAGAACTCAGGATTAAGAAACTCACTCAAAACTGCACAACAACATGGAAACCGAACAACCTGCTCCTGAATGACTACTGGGTAAATAACAAAATTAAGGTAGAAGTAAAGAAGTTCTTTGAATCCAATAAGAACAAAGAGACAATGTACCAGAATCTCTGGGACACAGCTAAAGCAGTGTTGAGGGAAATTTATAGCACAATGAATATTATTAAAACATAGATGACGGGTTGATAGGTGCACCATGGCACATGTATACCTATGTAACAAACCTGCACGTTCTGCACATGTATCCCAGAACTTAAACTATAATAAAAAACAAAATAAAATAAATTGAAAAAAGAAAATATCTTTTATAAATTTAATATAGTCTACATGTACAGTGTTTATAAAGTCTACAGTAGGGTACACTAATGTCCTAGGCCCTCACATTCACTCACCTGTCACTCACTGACTCATCCAGAGGAACTTTCAGTCCTTCAAGCTCCATTTATGGTAAGTGCCCTATACAGGTATACAATTTTTTATCTTTTATACCATATTTTATACTGTGCATTTTCTGTGTTTATGTGTGTTTAGATATACAAATACTTACCACTGTGTTACAATTGTCTGCAGTATTCAGTACAGCAACATTCTGTACAGATTTGTGGCCTAGGAGCAATAGGCTATACCCAACAGTAGGCTATGTAGCCTCGGTGTGTAGTAGGCAGTACCATGTACATTTGTGTATGTATGCTTTATGATTTCACACAACAATGAAACCACTTAATAATGCATTTCTCAGAAGGTATCCCTGTTAAGGGATACATGACTGTATTTTCACTGTCAGAGGAAAACTGCCTACTCAAGCCTCAGTAATGGCGGACGCCCCTCCCCCCAGCAAGTTCCATCATCCCAGGTCAACTTCAGATTGCTGGGCTGGCAGTGAGAATTTCAAGCCAGTGGCTTTTAGCCTGCTGTTCTCCAAGGGATTGGGACCTGCTGAGCGAGACCACTTGGCTCCCTGGCTTCAGCCCTCTCTAAAGGGGAGTGAACCATTCTGTCTCACTGGGGTTCCAGGTGCCACTGGGGTGTGAAAAAACACTCCTGCAGCTAGCTCTGTGTCTGCCCAAATAGTCACCCAGTTTTGTGCTGGAAACCCAGGGCCCTGGTGGTGTAGGCACACGAGGGAATCTCCTGGTCTGTGGATTGCAAAAACCATGGGAAATGTGTAGTTCTATCTGGGCCAAATAGCACAGTCCCTCACAACTTCCCTTGGCTGTGGGAGGGAGGCCCCTGGCTGCTTGGACGTCCTAGGTGAGGTGACGCTCACCCTCCATGGTGTTGGGAAAAGCTGAGTGTTGGGAGAAGCTGAGGCAGGGCTTACATGTCTGACACAATGTAAAAGAGTCTTGGAACCTGTCCAGGGTCCGGGGTCTAAAACCTCTCTTGGCCTTTGGAACACCAAGCTCTGTGCTAAAGGGTGGAAGCCTACCCTGATGCACCATAATGTAAGCGCAGGACATAAAACCCCTCATGGCCTCTGGAATGTGTCTAGACTTGCTGGCTCCTTGCTCCTTGCTCTGCCAGGATCGATTGTATCTTGAGTTAAAAGAACCTTCTCTCCATTATCTCAAGTAGCAGAGCATATGCTAAACTGTCATAGCTGTAAATCATGTGCTTAATGCAATGTTCCCTTTCAACCCCACATTCTCACCACCTGTTTCTTTGTTTGATCACCAATAAATAGTCTGGGCTTCCAGAGCTCAGGGCCTTCACAGCCTCCATTACTCACATTGGCGCCCTGGGCCCACTTTCTCTCTCAAACTGTCTTTACTCATTCCTTTGACTCCACCAGATTTTGTCACCCCCACCACCTGGTGTTGGGTCCAATCACCCCAACATTCCTGGCTGCCCAACTTGGGGTGACAAATACCCCAGTGAAGGAATGCTAGAGCATGTGAAAGTGGAGGATGCATCGTCAAAGGACACCTGAGGACCACTGAAAGAAGCTCGTCAGGAAAGCTGAGCACTTGGAAGAAACAGGGTAACAATGGGACAAAGTGAAAGCAAACATTCTGCTTACTTGAATTTCTTAAGGCACTTATTATGAAGAGGGTGAGACATGGGGTAAGACCCAGTGGAATCTGAGGCTTGTTTATTCAGAAGGCCCCATTTAGAGAAAAAGAAGACAAAGTGAGGACTTAGAAGGAGCCTGGGAAAGTAAAGTCATCTTGAAGCTTCAGTTTCACAGTTAACCTGCTTCTGCTGGAGAAAAACAGATTTAATGAGCACAGAGGCATGATATGGGACTGAATGTAAAGAAATTTGGACTCAAGGCCCCAAGGAATATTTGTTTGAGTTGTGGAATATGCTTGATTTTGGTATGTTAGTGATTTTCACAGCATTGTTCATTGCAAGATTCAGGGCGTTCTGGCATGCTTCCAAAGCCCAAAGCATCATTGATGCAAATGATACTTTGAAGGACTTGACAGAAGTAACACTGGGAGATAATGTGAAATACTACAATTTGGCCAGGAGGGAGTGGGTCCCCTCTGATCCTTGGGTGGTGTCTGAAGGTCTTTGTGCAGTTGCTGTGGTTTTGAGTTTCTCTGGGATAGCTTGTATTTTGCCAGCAAATGAAAGCTTTGGACCTCTGCAGACGTCACTTGGAGGAGCAGTCAAAGACATCTTCAGGTTCATGGTCATATTCATTATGGTGTTTGTGGCCTTTATGATTGGAATGTTCAACCTCTACTCCTACTACATTGGTGCAAAACAAAATGAAGCCTTCACAACGTTGAAGAGAGTTTTAAGACAATGTTCTGGGCTATATTTGGACTTTCTGAAGTGAAATCAGTGATCATCAACTATAACCACAAATTCATTGAAAACATTGGTTATGTTCTTTATGGAGTCTGTAATGTTACAATGGTCATTGTTTTGCTAAATATGTTAATTGCCATGATCAACAATTCGTTCCAGGAAATTGAGGATGATGCTGATGTGGGTCATAAAAAAGGTTTCCAGGAAGATGTAGAGATAAGTAAGTAGAGATAGACATAAATAGAGATATACATAAATAGAGATAGAGATAAATAGAGACAGAGATAGACATAACTAGAGATAGAGATAGAGGTAAATAGAGATAGAGATAAGTAAGTAGAGATAGAGATAAGTAGAGATAGGTAGGAAAATACAGGGACTTGCAGGAACTCACAGGAAATAACAGGTACCATAGGGACAGACAGGGACAGATACGGATAGATGAAGACCAGCAATATAAGGTCAGTACCCTAAAGAGGTATTGGTCAGTGCCCTAAAGAGGTACTGGTCAGTGAGGTACAAAAGCAAAGACTAGCAATATAAGGTTAGTGCCTTAAAGAGGTACTGGTCAGTGCCCTAAAGAGGTACAAAGGTAGAGACTAGCAAAGACAAGCAGAGATTTGCAGGGACAGACAAGAACATTCTGAATTATGGAAATTAGCTATGGCTCAAAGTCCAATCAAAATCTGAGAGGGCAAATATAAAAGGAATAGAGGGGAAGGAGGTAAGGATGAAAATGCTCTTTCTTTTCTCTCCAGCAGGACCTTTTGGATTCAAAGTCGTGCTAGCAATAGGAAATGTTACTCTTGATATAATACACACTTTATTACATGCCCTGATTGTTGCTTGTTTACCTGCATTAATTCAACCTTTGATGAAAATATAACTATCTTGATAATTAAAGCCAGGGAAGGAGTTTGATCCCTCTGTCTCTAAATAGACTATGGGAAACATCACCAAGTATTTATATTGTAACTGAGATCCTTAAAAAACTCTTATCCCGTTCCAAAAGATTTATAGTTGAAGGCCATTGGAGGCTCTACATTGTGGGTTTCTTTCTGGTTGTTGTGTGCTTGTGCTGTCTCCTTTTAGTCTGCAGATGCAGAAGCTGCCTCTGAAGAGGAAACCGCCTCTGAAGAGAAAGCTGCCATCAAGAACAAGCAATGATAGCTGTGGTGGTTTTATGAAAAAGAAAAGGGGGGTATGTTGGGAAAAGCTGAGTGTTGGGAAAAACTGAGGCAGGGCTTGCATGTCTGACATAATGTAAAAAAGTCTTGGAACCTGTCCAGGGTCCGGGGTCTGAAACCTCTCTTGGCCTTTGGAACACCAAGCTCTGTGCTAAAGGGTGGAAGGCTACCCTGATGCACCATAATCTAAGCCCAGGGGATAAAACCCCTCATGGCTTGGATAGAATCCAGGGCTCAGGGCATAAAACCCCTCATGGCCTCTGGAATGTGTCTAGATGCTGGCTCCTTGCTTCTTGCTCTCCCAGGATCGATTGTATCTTGAGTTAGAAGAACCTTCTCTCCATTATCTCAAGTAGCAGAGCATATGCTAAACCATCACAGCTGTAAATCATGTGCTTAATGCAATACTCCCTTTCAACCCCACATTCTCACCACCTGTTTCTTTGTTTGATCACCAATAAATAGTCTGGGCTTCCAGAGCTTGGGACCTTCGCAGCCTCCATACTCACGTTGGACCCCTGGGCCCACTTTCTCTCTCAAACGTCTTTTCTCATTCCTTTGACTCTGCCAGACTTCGTCACCCCCATGACCTGGTGTTGGGTCCAATCACCCCAACACATGAGCTGCTCCCACTTCCTAGATGAATAGGATACCTCAGTTGGAAATGCAGAAATCACTGGTCTTCTGCATTGGTCTTGCTGGGAGCTGCAGACCAGAGCTGTTCCTATTCGGCCATCTTGTCAGATCTCCCTGGAGGTCTTTATCTTAAGTGAAATAAGCCAAGCACAAGAAGAACAATATCAC
Source organism: Homo sapiens (assembly GCF_000001405.40). NCBI lineage: Eukaryota > Metazoa > Chordata > Mammalia > Primates > Hominidae > Homo > Homo sapiens. The sequence goes on along the minus strand of NC_000007.14, from coordinate 150,612,261 downwards.
ATGTGGGAGTTAAAATATCATATGTGGGAGTTGAAATATCATATGTGGGAGTTGAAAGATTCGATCACATGGAAGTAGAAAAGAGTGAAAAGATAGCAGAGACTGAGAAAGTAGAGGGTGGATGAAGAGAATTGTGTTAAAGGGGACAAACATAAAATTAGATAGAAGTAATAAGTTCAGTGTTTGATGGCAGAGTAGGGTGACTATAGTTAAACAAAAATATACTGTATTTGTGTGATGGACACCCTAAATACCCTTCACTGTGCATTATGTACATGTAACAAAAATTCACATGTTCCCTATAAATTTGTACAAATAAAAAACTGTGAAAGAAGATTCTGCTTATAGTGATAAAGATGTTTCTATGTTAACAAATTAGAAATTATTGCCTCCAATTTAAAGGATCTTAAGAAACAAATATAAATCTTTCATCAGACAAGTCCCACCTTCTCCATTAATGTTTTTTATTATACTTTAAGTTTTAGGGTACATGTGCACAACGTGCAGGTTTGTTACATATGTATACATGTGTCACGTTGGTGTGCTGCACCCATTAACTCGTCATTTAGCATTAGGTATATCTCCTAATGCTATCCCTCCCCTCTCCCCCCACCCCACAACAGGCCCCAGTGTGTGATGTTCCCCTTCCTGTGTCCATGTGTTCTCATTGTTCAATTCCCATCTATGAGTGAGAACATGCGGTGTTTGGTTTTTTGTCCTTGTGATAGTTTGCTGAGAATGATGGTTTCCAGTTTCATCCATGTCCCTACAAAGGGCATGAACTCATCATTTTTTATGGCTGCATAGTATTCCATGGAGTATATGTGCCACATTTTCTTAATCAGTCTATCATTGTTGGACATTTGAGTTGGTTCCAAAGTCTTTGCTATTGTGAATAGTGCCACAATAAACATATGTGTGCATGTGTCTTTATAGCAGCATGATGTCTTTATAGCAGCAGGATTATCCAATATCCCTGATGAACATCGATGCAAAAATCCTCAATAAAATACTGGCAAACCGAATCCAGCAGCACATCAAAAAGCTTATCCACCATGATCAAGTGGGCTTCATCCCTGGGATGCAAGGCTGGTTCAACATACACAAATCATAAAATGTAATCCAGCATATAAACAGAACCAACGACCTAAACCACATGATTACCTCAATAGATGCAGAAAAGGCCTTTGATAAAATTCAAAAACCCTTCTTGCTAAAAACTCTCAATAAATTAAGTATTGATGGGACATATCTCAAAATAATAAGAGCTATCTATGACAAACCCACAGCCAATATCATACTGAATGGGCATTGATTTCTTTAGTGGATTAAATTTGACTCCTGGGAATCTTTGCTCAGAGGAATTTTTCAATTCTTGGCTATTATTCTCCTTATAGTTATTGTGTTTACCTCCTGGTGCATTACATTCTATCAAGGGTTTTTATTCTTTCCAGTGGCCACTCACATGTCAAAAGATTGCCCTTAGGATCAGCCAACTCAAGGAAACGAATATGGACCAAGTAATTGTTCACAGTAGCTTTGTAACTCTGAACCCCAGCATAACGATTAATGATGACAACAACATCTTCCTGACTTTTCTTTCCAAGGACTACATCAACATTGGTAACTGAGAGTAATGCTATGCCATTTGGTCACACTGTCAGCTTGCTGAAGAAATAACTAAAAAGGGAAAATTCTTAAAGCACAATTAAAATGGAGACCGGGCCTAAACATTGCTGAGCAAACAAAACCAATGGAAAATTAAAAATAGCCTTAACATTGCTTAAACTGCAAACAGAAGCAAAATTTTAACTTGGGTCATTTCTGGTAAATGCTTATGTTGAACAGAAATGAAACTTAGTCTCAGCCAATCATAAGCAGCTGACTAATATATGTTCATGAGTTTAGGGATTTCCAACAACATAAACCAAAAAAGATGATATTATAGCTGCAAACAATCAAATACTGTATTTATTTTGCATCCACATTCATCCTACAAATCTTTGCCTCTGATTCTTTGTCATTGAAACACTAACCCTCTTTTGGTTTTGTGTTTCCCAATTCATGAATTGCTTGTTACTCAAATAAACACTATATATCTGATTGTGCCTCAGTTTACCATTTTAAATAATCTATCTGACCTCTTTGTGGAAACATTTCCTTCTCAAAAAAGATACCTAATTGGTGCCAGGTATACCCAGGACAAAGTAGTTTAGATCTTGTATTTTAACTACTTGCTGTCTGTCTCCTACAGTTGTGGCTGATGAAGAACACTTCCTTGTTCATCATTGGATTCCAACGTCCTGGAGTGCGTTAAGCACTCACTAAATGCTTCTCACCCATTTAGTAGCTGATTTTGATTTTGTATCCTGAGACTTTGCTGAAGTTGCCTATCAGCTTAAGGAGATTTTGGGCTGAGACGATGGGGTTTTCTAGATATACAATCATGTCATCTGCAAACAGGGACAATTTGACTTCCTCTTTTCCTAATTGAATACCCTTTATTTTCTTCTCCTGCCTGATTGCCCTGGCCAGAACTTCCAACATTATGTTGAATAGGAGTGGTGAGAGAGGGCATCCCTGTCTTGTGCCAGTTTTCAAAGGGAATGCTTCCAGTTTGCCCACTCAGTATGATGTTGGCTGTGGGTTTGTCATAGATAGCTCTTATTATTTTGAGATACATCCTATCAATACCTAATTTATTGAGAGTTTTTAGGATGAAGCATTGTTGAATTTTGTCAAAGGCCTTTTCTGCATCTATTGAGATAATCATGTGGTTTTTGTCTTTGGTTCTGTTTATATGCTGGATTATGTTTATAGATTTTCATATGCTGAACCAGCCTTGCATCCCAGGGATGAAGCCCAATTGATCATGGTGGATAAGCTTTTTGATGTGCTGCTGGATTCGGTTTGCCAGTATTTTATTGAGGATTTTTGCATCAATGTTCATCAAGGATATTGGCCTAAAATTCCCTTTTTTTGTTGTGTCTCTGCCAGGCTTTGGTATCAGGATGATGCTGGCCTCATAAAATGAGTTAGGGAGGATTCCCTCTTTTTCTATTGATTGGAATAGTTTCAGAAGGAATGGTACCAGCTCCTTCTTTTACCTCTGGTAGAATTCCGCTGTGAATCCATCCGGTCCTGGACTTTTTTTGGTTGGTAAATTATTAATTATTGCCTCAATTTCAGAGCCTGTTATTGGTCTATTGAGAGATTCAACTTCTTCCTGGTTTAGTCTTGGGAGGGTGTATGTGTCGAGGAATTTATCCATTTCTTCTAGATTTTCTAGTTTATTTGCGTAGAGGTGTTTATAGTATTCTCTGATGGTAGTTTGTATTTCTGTGGGATCGGTGGTGATATCCCCTTTATCATTTTTTATTGCATCTATTTGATTCTTCTCTCTTTTCTTCTTTATTAGTCTTGCTAGCGGTCTATCAATTTTCTTGATCTTTTCAAAAAACCAGCTCCTGGATTCCTTGATTTTGCTGAAAGGTTTTTTGTGTCTCTATTTCCTTCATTTCTGCCCTGATCTTAGTTATTTCTTGCCTTCTGCTAGCTTTTGAATGTGTTTGCTCTTGCTTCTCTAGTTCTTTTAATTGTGGTGTTAAGGTGTCAATTTTAGATCTTTCCTGCTTTCTCTTGTGGGCATTTAGTGCTATAAATTTCCCTCTACACAGTGCTTTGAATGTGTCCCAGAGATTCTGGTATATTGTGTCTTTGTTCTCATTGGTTTCAAAGAACAACTTTATTTCTGCCCTCATTTCGTTATTTACCCAGTAGTCATTCAGGAGCAGGTTGTTCAGTTTCCATGTATTTGAGCAGTTTTGAGTGAGATTCTTAATCCTGAGTTCTAGTTTGATTGTACTGTGGTCTGAGAGACAGTTTGTTATAATTTCTGTTCTTTTACATTTGCTGAGGAGGGCTTTACTTCCAACTATGTGGTCAATTTTGGAATAGGTGTGGTGTGGTGCTGAAAAGAATGTATATTCTGTTGATTTGGGATGGAGAGTTCTGTAGATGTCTATTAGGTCCACTTGGTGCAGAACTGAGTTCAATTCCTGGATATCCTTGTTAACTTTCTGTCTCATTGATCTGTCTAGTGTTGACAGTGGGGTGTTGAAGTCTCCAATTATTATTGTGTGGGAGTCTAAGTCTCTTTGTAGGTCACTAAGGACTTGCTTTATGATTCTGGGTGCTCCTGTATTGGGTGCATATATATTTAGGATAATTAGCTCTTCTTGTTGAATTGATCCCTTTACCCTTATGTAATGATCTTCTTTGTCACTTTTGATCTGTGTTGGTTTAAAGTCTGTTTTATCAGAGACTAGGATTGCCAATCCTGCCTTTTTTTGTTTTCCATTTGCTTGGTAGATCTTCCTCCATCCCTTTATTTGGAGCCTATGTGTGTCTCTGCATGTGAGATGGGTTTCCTGAATACAGCACACTGATGGGTCTTGACTCTATATCCAATTTGCCAGTCTGTGACTTTCAATTGGAGCATTTAGCCCATTTACATTTAAGGTTAATATTGTTATGTGTGAATTTGATCCTGTCATTGTGATGTTAGCTGGTTATTTTGCACGTTAGTTGATGCAGTTTTTTCCTAGCCTTGATGGTCTTTACAATTTGGCATGTTTTTGCAGTGGCTGGTACTGGTTGTTCCTTTCCATGTTTCGTGCTCCCTTCAGGAGTTCTTTTAGGGCAGGCCTGGTGGTGACAAAATCTCTCAGCATTTGCTTGTCTGTAAAGTATTTTATTTCTCCTTCACTTATGAAGCTTATTTTGGCTGGATATGGAATTCTGGGTTGAAAATTCTTTTCTTTAAGAGTGTTGAATATTGTCCCCCACTCTCTTCTGGCTTGTAGAGTTTCTGCCGAGAGATCAGCTGTTAGTCTGATGAGCTTCCCTTTGTGGGTATCCCGACCTTTCTGTCTGGCTGTCCTTAACATTTTTTCCTTCATTTCAACTTTGATGAATCTGACAATTATGTGTCTTGGAGTTGCTCTTCTCGAGGAGTGTCTTTGTGGCATTCTCTGTATTTCCTGAATTTGAATGTTGGCCTGCCTTGCTGGATTGGGGAAGTTCTCCTGGATATTATCCTGCAGAGTGTTTTCCAACTTGGTTCCATTCTCCCCGTCACTTTCAGGTATACCAATCAGACGTAGATTTGGTCTTTTCACATAGTCCCATACTTCTTGGGGGCTTTGTTCATTTTTTTTAATGCTTTTTTCTCTAAACTTCCCTTCTCACTTCATTTCATTCATTTCATCTTCCATCACCGATACCCTTTCTTCCAATTGATTGAATCAGCTACTGAGGCTTGTGCATTCATCACGTAGTTCTCATGCCTTGGTTTTCAGCTCCAACAGGTCCTTTAAGGACTTCTCTGCATTGGTTATTCTAGTTAGCCATTCACCTAATTTTTTTTCAAGGTTTTTAACTTTTTTGCCATGTGTTGGAACTTCCTCCTTTAGCTCGGTGTAGTTTGATCATCTGAAGTCCTCTTCTCTCAACTTGTCAAAGTCATTCTCCATCCAGCTTTGTTCTGTTGCTGGTGAGGAGCTACGTTCCTATGGAGGAGAAGAGGTGCTCTGATTTTTAGAGTTTCCAGTTTTTCTGCTCTGTTTTTTCCCCATCTTTATGGTTTTATCTACCTTTTGTCTTTGATGATGGTGACGTACAGATGGGTTTTTGGTGTGGATGTCCTTTCTGTTTGTTAGTTTTCCTTCTAACAGTCAGGACCCTCAGCTGCAGGTCTATTGGAGTTTGCTGGAGGTCCACTCCAGACCCTGTTTGCCTGGGTATCAGCAGTGGTGGCTGCAAAACAGCAGATATTGGTGAACCCCAAATGCTGCTTCCTGATCATTCCTCTGGAAGTTTTGTTTCAGAGGAGTACCCGGCCGTGTGAGGCATCAGTTCACCCCTACTGGGGGGTGCCTCCCAGTTGGCCTACTCGGTGGTCAGGGACCCACTTGAGGAGGCTGTCTGCCCATTCTTAGATCTCAAGCTGCATGCTGGGAGAAACACTACTCTCTTCAAAGCTGTCAGACAGGGACATTTAGGTCTGCAGAGGTTACTGCTGCCCTTTGTTTGTCTGTGCCCTGCCCCCAGAGGTGGAGCCTACAGAGGCAGGCAGGACTCCTGGAGCTGTGGTGGGCTCCACACAGTTTGAGCTTCCCAGCTGCCTTGTTTACCTACTCAAGCCTTGGCAATGTCTGGAGCCCCTCCCCCAGCCTCACTGCCGCCTTGCAGTTTGATGTCAGACTGCTGTGCTAGTAATGAACGAGACTCCATGAGCATAGGACCCTCTGAGCCATGCACGGGATATAATCTCCTGGTTTGCCATTTGTTAAGCTCGTTGGAAAAGTGCAGTATTAGGGTGGGAGTGACCCGATTTTCCAGGTGCCGTCTGTCACCCCTTTCTTTGACTAGGAAAGGGAATTCCCTGACCCCTTGCACTTCCCAGGTGAGGCGATGCCTCACCCTGCTTCAGCTCACACAGGGTGCAGTGCACCCACTGTCCTGCACCGACAGTCTGGCACTCCCTAGTGAGATGAACCTGGTGCCTCAGTTGGAAATGCAGAAATCACCCATCTTCTGTGTCACTCACAGTGGGAGCTGTAGACTGGAGCTGTTCCTATTCGGCCATCTTGGCTCCTCCCCCCTCTTGTCATTTTCTTACTCCAATATAGCTTTATTCCCACCATTTTCTAGGTGCTTTTATTAGTAAACATTATATTTCTCTGTTATAGATTCTACAGTATAATTATATACATATTGTTTTGTAAAGTTGCCTTTTAAATCAGTTAATAAAAGGGGAATAAATGTGAAAAAAAAAAACAAGAAAGAAGAGAAAGAAAGAAAGAAGGAATGAAGGAAGGAAGGAAGGAAGGAAGGAAAATTTTCTTATCTTTAAGTGTGACTGTATTCACAGCAATTCCTTCTTTTTCAATCTTAATGTCTTTATCTTACCTTCATTTTGAAATATATTTTCACTGGACATATTATTCTACAAATAGTATCCTACAAACACAAACATGAATGCATTTAAAATGTTTACTTGCTCTTGACTTCATTGCTTCTAATGAGAAGTCAGCCTTCATTTTTATCGTTCTGCACCCATGTATGTGTCTTTCTCTTCCAGTGGCTTTTAAGATATTACCTTTTTCTATCTTTCATTTACAATAGTTTGACTCTTGTCAACCTAGGTGACTCAGGTTATTCTGCCTGAGTTACTGAAATCTTGAATAAGTAGGTTGAAAATTTTTACCAAATATGAGATATTTTCAGTTAATATTTTCTAAAATATTTTTCTGCCCATTTTCTCTCTTTTCCCCTCTGGATCTTCAATTATGTGTGTGTGTATTCATGTGTGTATGTATATGTGTATATGTGTGTGTGTGATATGTGTGTGTTTGTAGTGCTATAACAAAATACCATAGACTGGTTAATTTATAAATAATATAAATCTATTTCTCATAATTCTGTAGGCTAGGAAATCCAAGCTCAAGGCATCAGCAGATTCTGTGCCTGGTAAAGGCTTACTCCTTGCTTCCAAGATGGTGCCTGTTTCCTGGTTTGAGGCAAAGTAACATTAGCAGTGAGAACTAAAATACAATCTAAAAGCTACTGGTGAGTTGGTAATAGGTAGTGCAGATGTCAACAAAACCATAGTTTCCTACTGTCAATAACAAACATGTTTCTATATGGCAAACAAATAAAATGCTATAATGTAAATACTGAAGAGTGATCCTGTTTATAATGAGTTGGGCCTTCTAGGAAAACTCTTGTCAAAGCAGCAATTCTCTACTAGCTGTGTGATTGTAAACTTGACTTTGGAACTGGCTCTTGTAATACAGTCTGCTATAGCCTTCATACATATTACCACTGTATTCATACATATTACTACTGTAGGGGTTTGGAAATCAAGGGGACAAATTGTGGGGTGTTAAAAACCACAAACTTATTTCCAAACCTATGGCTTCAAATTTTACATACTTTGCTTAGTGCCCAGATAAAGAGCTGTACAATGTTTTTTCTGCATCCAGTGAGATGATCATGCAATTTTTGTCCTTCATTCTATTAATATGGTGTAATACATGACTGATACTTGCCTACTGAACCTGTCTTGCAACAACTACTACATGTGCCCCCAGGTTATGTGTTAATAATGTGTGTGAGATTTTCAATTATACTAGCTCTATCCTGCACAAGAATATCATGCCATCAAATGCAGAAATCCTTAGCAAAAAATTCTGGACATAGTATTTCCAATAAAATCAATAACTTATCAAGCAGTTCTAAGTACCCTGTGAGGAGCCAATATTGCAATGACTTTTAGAACTCCAGTTAGAAGAAATGAACAAGTCATTGTTCTTAAGCTGCATGAGGAGGGGCCTCAGAGAATATGAAACTACAAGGGCAAATAATAAGCCATTTCCCAAAACATCCCCTAAGAACAAAGGAAGCATAAGGCCAGTCGCTGCAAAACAGGTAACACACCCCAAAATATCTTCTCTCAGCCAACATGAAGAGATTTTAAGATAGCGGGGAAAACATGAGAACCTAAGAAACTGAAAACAATCAAACAACTGAAATAACAAGCAGCAACTGGCAAACAGCTAGGAAAAAAAAGCAGCTGGGGAAAATTCAAAAAGAGATAGCCCTTCTCCAGGAGCTAGAAGATTTAGAAATGAGTCTTTTAGATATTTAAAGAACATAAATTGAATGCCAGAAATCAGTATAAATGTATTTTTTAAAACTGATGGGGTACTCTAAATATCCTTATGCCCATATTTGATCATTTATAACGTATCCAATATTCTGAATATGTGGGGTTTTAAAATGTTTATTAAATTGACTTTTTCTACCTTTCAATATAATGTGGAAGGGGGTAGGAATAACCTTTTTAATTAGGTATATCTCTTAATGCTATTCCTCCCCCCTTCCCCCAATGTACAACAGTCCCCGGTGTGTGATGTTCCCCTTACTGTGTCCATGTGTTCTCATTGTCCAATTCTCACCGATAAGTGAGAACATGTGGTGTTTGGTTTTTTGTCCTTGCGATAGTTTGCTGAGAATGATGGTTTCCAGCTTCATCCACATCCCTACAAAGGACATGAACTCATCATTTTTTATGGCTGCATAGTATTCCATGGTGTATATGTGCCACATTTTCTTAATCCAGTCTATCGTTGTTGGACATTTTGGTTGTTTCCAAGTCTTTGCTATTGTGAATAGTGCCACAATAAACATACGTGTGCATGTGTCTTTATAGCAGCATGATTTATAATCCTTTAGGTATATACCCAGTAATGGAATGGCTGGGTCAAATGGTATTTCTAGTTCTAGATCCCTGAGGAATCACCACACTGACTTCCACAATGGTTGAACTAGTTTACAGTCCCACGAACAGTGTAAAAGTGCTCCTGTTAGGGGACCATCACACTCTGGGGAGTGTTGTGGGGTGGGGGGAGGGGGAGGGGGGGAGGGATAGTATTGGGAGATATACCTAATGCTAGATGACGAGTTAGTGGGTGCAGCGCACCAGCATGACACATGTATACATATGTAAATAACCTGCACATTGTGCACATGTACCCTAAAACTTAAAGTATAGTGATAATAAATAAAGAAAAAAAAGAAAAAAAAAGTGTTCATATTTCTCCACATCCTCTCCAGCACCTGTTGTTTCCTGACTTTTTAATGATAGCCCTTCTAACTGGTGTGAGATGGTATCTCATTGTGGTTTTGATTTGCATTTCTCTGATGGCCAGTGATGATGAGCATTTTTTCATGTGTTTTTTGGCTGCATAAATGCCTTCTTTTGAGAAGTGTGTGTTCATATCCTTTGCCCACTTTTTGACAGGGTTGTTTGTTTTTTTCTTGTAAATTTGTTTGAGTTCATTGTAGATTCTGGATATTAGCCCTTTGTCTGATGAGTAGGTTGCAAAAATTTTCTCCCATTCCATAGGTTGCCTGTTCACTCTGATGGTGGTTTCTTTTGCTGTGCAGAAGCCCTTTAGTTTAATTAGATCCCATTTGTCAATTTTGGCTGTCATTGCCATTGCTTTTGTGTTTTAGACATGAAGTCCTTGCCCATGCCTATGTCCTGAATGGTATTGCCTAGGTTTTCTTCTAGGGTTTTTATAGTTGTAGGTCTAACATGTAAGTCTTTAATCCATCTTGAATTAATTTTTTATAAGGTGTAAGGAAGGGATCCAGTTTCAGCTTTCTACATATGGCTAGCCAGTATTCCCAGCACCATTTATTAAATAGGGAATCATTTCCCCATTGATTGTTTTTGTCAGGTTTGTCAAAGATCAGATAGTTGTGGATATGCAGCATTATTTCTGAAGGCTCTGTTCTCTTCCATAGGTCTATATCTCCATTTTGGTTCCAGTACCATGCTGTTTTGTTTACTGTAGCCTTGTAGTATAGTTTGAAGTCAGGTAGCATGATGCCCTCAGCTTTGTTCTTTCAGCTTAGGATTGTTTTGGCAATGCGGGCTCTTTTTTGGTTCCATATGAAGTTTAAAGTAGTTTTTTCCAATTCTGTGAAGAAAGTCATTGGTAGCTTGGTGGAGATGGCATTGAATCTATAAATTACCTTGGGCAGTATGGCCATTTTCACTATATTGATTGTTCCTACCCATGAGCATGGAATGTTCTTCCATTTGTTTGTATCCTCTTTTATTTCATTGAGCAGTGGTTTGTTGTTCTCCTTGAAGAGGTCCTTCACATCCCTTGTATGTTGGATTCCTAGGTATTTTATTCTCTTTGAGGCAATTGTGAATGGGAGTTCACTCATGATTTCACCCTCTGTTTGTCTGTTATTGGTGTGTAAGAATACTTGTGATTTTTGCAAATTGATTTTATATCCTGAGAGTTTCCTGAAGTTGCTTATCAGCTTAAGGAGATTTTGGGCTGAGACGATGGGGTTTTCTAGATATACAATCATGTCATCTGCAAGCAGGGACAATTTGACTTCCTCTTTTCCTAACTGAATGTCCTTTATTTCCTTCTTCTGCCTGATTGCCCTGGCCAGAACTTCCAACACTATGTTGAATAGGAGTGGTGAGAGAGGGCATCCCTGTCTTGAGCAAGTTATCAGAGGGAATGCTTCCAGTTTTTGTCCATTCAGTATGATATTGGCTGTGGATTTGTCATAGATAGCTCTTATTATTTTGAGATACGTCCTATCAATACCTAATTTATTGAGAGCTTTTAGCATGAAGAGTTGTTGAATTTTGTCAAAGGCCTTTTCTTTATCTATTGAGATAATCATGTGGCTTTGTCTTTGGTTCTGTTTATATGCTGGATTACGTTTACTGATTTTCATAGGTTGAACCAGCCTTGCATCCCAGTGATGAAACCCACTTGATCATGGTGGAGAAGGTTTTTGATGTGCTGCTGGATTCAGTTTGCCAGTATTTTATTGAGGATTTTTGCATCAATGTTCATCAAGGATATTGGTCTAAAATTCTCTTTTTTTTGTTGTGTCTCTGCCAGGCTTTGGTATCAGGATGATGCTGGCCTCATAAAACGAGTTAGGGAGGATTCCCTCTTTTTCTATTGATTGGAATAGTTTCAGAAGGAATGGTACCAGCTCCTCCTTGTACCTCTGGTAGAATTCCGCTATGAATCCATCTGGTCCTGGACGTTTTTTCGTTGGTTAGTTATTAATTATTGCCTCAATTTCAGAGCCTGTTATTGGTCTATTGAGAGATTCAACTTCTTCCTGGTTTAGTCTTGGGAGGGTGTATGTGTTGAGGAAGTTGTCTATTTCTTCTATATTTTCTAGTTTATTTGCGTAGAGGTATTTATAGTATTCTCTGATGGTAGTTTGTATTTCTGTGGGATCGGTGGTGATATCCCCTTTATCTTTTTTTATTGCATCTATTTGATTCTTGTCTCTTTTCTTCTTTATCAGTCTTGCTAGCGGTCTATCAATTTTGTTGATCTTTTCAAAAAACCAGCCACTGGATTCATTGATTTTTTGAAGGTTTTTTGTGTCTTTATTTCCTTCAGTTCTGCTCTGATCTTAGTTATTTCTTGCCTTCTGCTAGCTTTTGAATGTGTTTGCTCTTGCTTCTCTAGATCTTTTAATTGTGATGTTAGGGTGTCACTTTTAGATCTTTCCTGCTTTCTCTTGTGGGCATTTAGTGCTATAAATTTCCCCCTACACACTGCTATGAATGTGTCCCAGAGATTCTGGTATGTTGTGTCTTTGTTCTCATTGGTTTCAAAGAATATCTTTATTTCTGCCTTGATTTCGTTATGTACCCAGTAGTCATTCAGGAGCAGGTTGTTCAGTTTCCATGTATTTGAGCAGTTTTGAGTGAGTTTCTTAATCCTGAGTTCTAGTTTGATTGCACTGTGGTCTGAGAGACAGTTTGTTATAATTTCTGTTCTTTTACATTTGCTGAGGAGTGCTTTACTTCCAATTATGTGGTCAATTTTGGAATAGGTGTGGTGTGGTGCTGAAAAAAATGTATATTCTGTTGATTTGGGGTGATTTCTGTAGATGTCTATTAGGTTCTCTTGGTGCAGAGCTGAGTTCAATTTGTGGATATCCTTGTTAACTTTCTGTCTCGTTGATCTGTCTAATGTTGACAGTGGGGTGTTGAAGTCTCCCATTATTAATGTGTGGGAGTCTAAGTCTCTTTGTAGGTCACTAAGGACTTGCTTTATGAATCTGGGTGCTCCTGTATTGGGTGCATATATATTTAGGATAATTAGTTCTTCTTGTTGAATTGATCCCTTTACCATTATGTAATGGCTTTCTTTGATTCTTTTGATCTTTGTTGGTTTAAAGCCTGTTTTATCAGATACTAGGATTGCAAACCCTGCCTGTTTTTGTTTTGCATTTGCTTGGTAGATCTTCCTCCATCCCTTTATTTGCAGCCTATGTGTGTCTCTGCACGTGAGATGGGTTTCCTGAATACAGCACACTGATGGGTCTTGACTCTATATCCAATTTGCCAGTCTGTGACTTTTAATTGGAGCATTTAGCCCATTTACATTTAAGGTTAATATTATTACGTGTGAATTTGATCCTATCATTATGATGTTAGCTGATTATTTTGCTTGTTACTTGATGCAGTTTCTTCCTAGCCTTGATGGTCTTTACAGTTTGGCACGTTTTTGCAGTGGTTGGTACTGGTTGTTCATTTCCATGTTAGTGCTTCCTTCAGGAGTTCTTTTAGGGCAGGCCTGGTGTTGACAAAATCTCTCAGCATTTGCTTGTCTGTATTTTATTTCTCCTTCACTTTTGAAGCTTATTTTGGCTGGATATGGAATTCTGGGTTGAAAATTCTTTTCTTTAAGAATGTTGAATATTGTCCCCCACTCTCTTCTGGCTTGTAGAGTTTCTGCCGAAAGATCAGCTGTTAGTCTGATGGGCTTCCCTTTGTGGGTAACCCGACCTTTCTGTCTGGCTGTCCTTAACATTTTTTCCTTCATTTCAACTTTGATGAATCTGACAATTATGTGTCTTGGAGTTGCTCTTCTCGAGGAATATCTTTGTGGCGTTCTCTGTATTTCCTGAATCTGAGTATTGGCCTGCCTTGCTAGTTTGGGGAAGTTCTCCTGCATAATATCCTGTGGAGTGTTTTCCAACTTGGTTCCATTCTCCCCATCACTTTCAGGTACACCAATCAGACGTAGATTTGGTCTTTTCACATAGTCCCATAATTCTTGGAGGCTTTGTTCATTTCTTTTTATGCTTTTTTCTCTAAACTTCTGTTCTCACTTCATTTCATTCATTTCATCTTCCATCACTGATACCCTTTCTTTCAGTTGATTGAAACGGCTGCTGAGGCTTGTGCATTCATCATGTAGTTCTGGTGCCTTGGTTTGCAGCTCCATCAGGTCTTTTAAGGACTTCTCTGCATTGGTTATTCTAGTTAGCCATGTGTCTAATTTTTTTCAAGGTTTTTAGCTTCTTTCCCGTGGGTTCAAACTTCCTCCTTTAGCTTGGAGTAGTTTTATCATCTGAAGCCTTCTCTCAACTCATCAAAGTCATTCTCCATCCAGCTTTGTTCCATTGCTGGTGAGGAGCTGTGTTTCTTTGGAGGAGGAGAGGTGCTCTGATTTTTAGAGTTTCCAGTTTTTCTGTTCTGCTTTTTCCCCATCTTTATGGTTTTATCTACCTTTTATCTTTGATGATGGTGACATACAGATGGGTTTTTGGTGCGGATGTCCTTTCTGTTTGTTAGTTTTCCTTCTAACAGTCAGGACCCTCAGCTGCAGGTCTATTGGAGTTTGCTGGAGGTCCACACCAGACCTTGTTTTCCTGGGTATCAGCAGTGGTGGCTGCAAAACAGCAGATATTGGTGACCCGCAAATGCTGCTGCCTGATCGTTCCTCTGGAAGTTTTGTCTCAGAGGAGTACCCGGCCATGTGAGTTATCAGTCCACCTCTACTGGGGGGTGCCTCCCAGTTAGGCTACTCATGGTCAGGGACCCACTTGAGGAGGCAATCTGTCCGTTCTCAGATCTCAAGCTGCATGCTGGGAGAACCACTACTCTCTTCAAAGCTGTCAGACACTGACATTTAAGTCTGCAGACTTTACTGCCGCCTTTTGTTTTTCTTTGCCCTGCCCCCAGAGGTGGAGCCTACAGAGGCAGGCAGGCCTCCCTGAGCTGTGGTGGGCTCCACCCAGTTCGAGCTTCCCAGCTGCTTTGTTTACCTACTCAAGCCTTGGCAATGGCAGGCTCCCCTCCCCAAGCCTCGCTGCCGCCTTGCAGTTTGATCTCAGACTGCTGTCTAGCAATGAGAGAGACTCCGTGGGCATAGGATCCTCTGAGCCGGGCATAGGATCCTCTGAGCCATGCATGGGATATAATCTCCTGGTGTGCCGTTTTTTAAGCCTGTTGTAAAAGTGCAGTATTAGGTTGGGAGTGACCCGATTTTCCAGGTTCCGTCTGTCACCACTTTCTTTGACTAGAAAGGGGAATTCCCTCACCCCTTGCACTTCCCTGGTGAGGCAATGCCTCACCCTGCTTTGGCTCACACATGGTGCACTGCATCCACTGTCCAGCATTCCTCAGTGAGATAAACCCGGTACCTCAGTTGGAAATTCAGAAATCACCCGTTTTCTGCATCGCTCACACTGGGAGCTGTAGACTGGAAGTGTTCCTATTTGGCCATCTTAGCTCCTCCCCCCTCTTGTCATTTTCTTACTCCAATATAGCTTTATTGCCATCACCTTCTCTGTACTTTTATTAGTAAACATTATATTTCTCTGTTATAGATTCTACAATACAATTATATGCATATTGTTTTATAAAGTTACCTTTTAAATCAGTTAACAAAAGGGGAATAAATGTGAAAAAAAGAAAGAAGAAAGAAGAGAAAGAAGATAAATAAAGAAAGAAGAAAGAAGGAAGGAAGGAAAGAAGGAAGGAAGGAAGGAAAATATTCTTATCTTGAAGTGTGACTGTATTCACAGCAATTCCTTCTTTTTCAATCTTAATGTCTTTATCTTACCTTCATTTTGAAGTATATTTTCACTGGATATATTATTCTACCAATAGTATCCTACAAACACAAACATGAATGCATTTAAAATGTTTACTTGCTCTTGACTTCATTGCTTCTAATGAGAAATCAGCCTTCATTTTTATCGTTCTTTGCCCATGTATGTGTCTTTTTCTTCCAGTGGCTTTTAAGATATTACCTTTTTCTATCTTTCACTTACAATAGTTTGACTCTTGTGAAACTAGGTGACTCAGGTTATTCTGCCTAAGTTACTGAAATCTTGAATAAGTAGGTTGAAAATTTTTACCAAATATGAGATATTTTCAGTTAATATTTTCTAAAATATTTTTCTGCCCATTTTCTCTCTTTTCCCCTCTGGATCTTCAATTATGTGTGTGTGCATTCATGTGTGTATGTATATGTGTATATGTGTGTGTGTGATATGTGTGTGTTTGTAGTGCTATAACAAAATACCACAGACTGGTTAATTTATAAATAATATAAATCTATTTCTCATAATTCTGTAGGCTAGGAAATCCAAGCTCAAGGCATCAGCAGATTCTGTGCCTGGTAAAGGCTTACTCCTTGCTTCTAAGATAGTGCCTTGCTGTGTCTTCCAGAGGGGGCTAACGCTATGTGCTCATACGACAGAAGGAGAAAAAGGTCAGAAGGGACCGATGCTTACTCTTTTATAAGGGCATTAATCCCATTCACGGGGCAGAGTCTCATGATCCTAATCTCCTTAAATTCCCACCTTTTAATACAATTGAATGGGGATTAAATTTCAATAACAATTCTGGAAGGACCCAGACATTCAGACTCTCTCTCCCTCCCTTTCTCTCTCTCTCCTGTGTGTGTGTGTGGCAGGCTGGGGGGCTGTTACCTACTATCCCACAAGTTATTAAGGTTTTGTGCCTTTTTTTCTAAAGCTTTTCATTTCTGTGATAAAATTAGGATAATCTCTCTTGATCTGTTTTCAGGCACACTGTTCTTTTTAAAATGTTGTATCTAATCTGCTGTTAACCTCATCCAATAAAGTTTTATTTCATATATTTAAAATTTACAGTTTTAATCTGTTCAGAAACTCTCCATTCTTAAACGCATTATGATTATCTTTTCATGAGGGTTCTTTTTCATATTTATCACTGTTACTTTAGATGCTTCTCTGACATGATGGACATTTGTGCAGGTCTGTTTCCTTTCTGATAATTGTCTTTGATATGGGTATTGTTTCATATTTCCTGCTTCTTAAAGATGTCTATTTTGTAGTTTTGTTAGTAAGGAGGAAAGGGAAAATGGATGGTAAGCACATAACTAGTAGCGTGGGCCATGTAGAGCTTGGGTGAAATTTCTCTGCACTTTGCTGGGAACTCCCTCAATCTCACCTACTAAGGTGATGTCTTTTGACAATCTCACAACCAAATCTTGTACATTCTAAACATATCCCAAGGATAGGTCAAGAAAATCAAAACTCAGAGTCTGACTCTGGTTCCAAAATAACACAGAGGCTTGAAACTGGCTAAATGTCCTAGAGATAAGTTTTGGAGAAAGTATTAAGAATAAAATATTGCTCAAACTTCTCAAGATGGCCAAATAAAAACAGATCCAGTCTGCAGCTCCCAGCAAGATCAACACAGAAGGCAGGTGATTTCTGCATTTCCAACTGAGGTACATGGCTGATCTCATTGGGATTGGTTAGACAGTGGGTGCAGCCCACAGAGGATGAGCAGAAGCAGGGTGAGGTGTTGCCTAACCCAGGAAACACAAGGGGTCAGGGAACTCCCTCCCCTAACCAAGGGTAGCCGTGAGAGACTGTGCCATGAGGGATGGTGCATTCCAGCCCAGATACTGTGCTTTTCCCACCATCTTCACAACCCACAGACCAGGAGATTTCCTTGGGTGCCTACATCACCAGGGCCCTGGGTTTCAATCACAAAACTGGGCAGCCACTTGGGCAGACACCGAGCTAGCTGCAGGAGATTTTTTTTCATACGCCCGTGGTGCCTGGAATGCCAGCAAGACAGAACTGTTCACTCCCCTAGAAAGGGGGCTGAAGCCAGGGAGCCAAGTGGTCTAGCTCAGCAGATCCCACCCCCATGGAGTCCAGCAAGCTAAGACCCATTGGCTTGAAGTTCTCACTGCCAGCACAGCAGTCTGAAGTCAACCTGAGATGCTTGAGCTTGGGGGGTGGGCGGGGAGGGGTGGTATCCAGCATTGCTGAGGGTTGAGTAGGTGGTTTTCTCCTCATGGTGTACACAAAGTCCCCAAGAGGTTTGAACTGAGCAAAGCCCACTGCAGCTCAGCAAAGCCCCTGTACCCAGACTGCCTCTCTAGATTCCTCCTCTCTGGGCAGGGCATCTCTGAAAGAAAGGCAGCAGCCGCAGTCAGGGGCTTATAGATAAAACTCCCATCTTCCTGGGACAGAGCACCTGGGAAAAGGGGCAGCAGTGGGCACAGCTTCAGCAGACTTAAACTTTCCTGCCTGCTGGCTTTGAAGAGAGCAGTGGATCTCCCAGTACAGCACTTGAGCTCTGCTAAGGGACAGACTGCCTCCTCAAGTAGGTCCCTGATCCTGGTGCCTCCTGACTGGAAGAAACCTCCCAGCAGGGGTCAACAAACACCTCATACAGGAGAGCTCCAGCTGGCACATGGCAGGTGTCCCTCTAAGACAAAGCTTCCAGAGGAAGGAACAGGCAGCAATCTTTGCTATTCTGCAGCCTCGGCTGGTGATATCCAAGCAAACAGGGTCTGGGGTGGATCTCCAAAAAACTCCTGCAGACCTGCAGAAAAGGGACCTAACTGTTAGAAAGAAAACTAACAAACAGAAAAGAATAGCATCAACATCAACAAAAAGGACGTCCACACAGGTACCCCATTTGAAGGTCACCAACATGAAAGACCAAAGGCAGATAAATTGACGAAGATGAGGAAAAGCCAGTGCAAGAAGGCTGAAAATTCCAAAAACCAGAATGCCTCTTCTCCTCCAAAGGATCACAACTCTTCACCAGCAAGGGAACAAAACTGGACAGAGAATGAATTTGAAGAATCGACAGAGGTAGGCTTCAGAAGGTGGGTAATAACAAACACCTCTGAGCTAAAGAAGCATGTTCTAACCCAATGCAAGAAAGCTAAGAACCTTGAAAAAGGTTAGAGAAATTGCTAACCAGAATAATCAGTTTAGAGAAGAACATAAATGACCTGATGAAGCTGAAAAACACAGTACGAGAACTTTGTGAAGTATACACAAGTATCAATAGCCAAATGGATCAAGCTGAAGAAAGGATTTCAGAGACTGAAGATCAACTTAATGAAATAAAGCATGAAGGAAAGATTAGAGAAAAAAAGTATGAAAAGGAAGGAACAAAGCCTCCAAGAAATATGGAACTATGTGAAAAGACATTTGATTGGTGTACCTGAAAGTTATGGGGAAAATGGACCCAAGTTGAAAAACACTCTCCAGGATATTATCCAGGAGAACTTCCCCAACCTAGCAAGACAGGCCAACATTCTAATTCAAGAAATTCAGAAACCACCACAAAGATACTCCTCGAGAAGAGCAACCCCAAGACATATAATTGTCAGATTCAACAAAGTTGAAATGAAGGAAAAAAACGTTAAGGGCAGCCAGAGAGAAAGATCAGGTTACCCACAAAGGGAAGCTCATCAGATTAACAGTGTATCTCTCTGCAGAAACCATACGAGGCAGAAGAGAGTTGGGGGTTGTCAATATTCAACATTCTGAAATAAAAGAAATTTCAACCCAGAATTTTATATCCAGCCAAACTAAGCTTCATAAGTGAAACAGAAATAAAATCCTTTACAGACAAGCAAATACTGAGAGATTTTGTCACCATCAGGCCTGCCTTACAAGAACACCTGAAGGAAGCATGAAACATGGAAAGAAACAACCAGTACCAGCTGCTGCAAAAACATAACAAATTGTAAAGACCATTGACACTATGAAGAAACAGCATCAACTAATGGGCAAAATAGCCAGCTAGCATCATAATGACAGGATCAAATTCACATAACAATATTAACTTTAAATGTAAATGGGCTAAATGCCCCCAATTAAAAGACACAGACTGGCAAATTGGATGTAGAGTCAAGACCCAACGTGTGCTGCTGTATTCAGGAGACCCATCTTAGGTGCAAAGACAGACATAGGCTCAAAATAAATGGATGGAGGAATATTTACCAAGCAAATAGAGAGAGAAAAAAAGCAGGGGTTGTAATCCTAGTCTCTGATAAAAACAGACTTTAAACCAACAAAGATCAAAAAAGACAAAGAGGGGCATTATATAATGGTAAAGAGATCAATGCAACAAGAAGAGCTAACTATCCTAAATATATATGCACCCAATACAGGAGCACCCAAATTCATAAAGTTCTTAGAGACCTATGAAGAGACTTAGACTCCCACACAATAGTAGTGGTAGGCATTAACACCTCACTGTCAATATTAGACAGATCAACGTGACAGATAATTAACAACAATATTCAGGACTTGAACTTAGCTCTGAACAAAGCAGACCCAGTAGACATCTAAAGAACTCTCCACCCCAAATCAACAGAATATACATTCTTCTCAGCACCACATTGCACTTAGTCTAAAACTGACCACATAATTGGAAGTAAAACACTCCTCAGCAAATGCAAAAGAAGGGAAATAGTAACAGTTTCTCAGACCACAGTGCAATCAAATTAGAACTCAAGATTCAGAAACTCACTCAAAATTGCACGAGAACGTGGAAAGTGAACAACATGCTCCTGAATGACTACTGGGTAAATAACGAAATTAAGGTAGAAATAATGAAGTTCTTTGAAACTAATGAGAACAAAGACACAATGTATCAGAATCTCTGGGACACAGCTAAAGCAGTGTTTAGAGGAAAAATTATAGCACTAAATGCCTACAGGAAAAAAAGGGAAATATCTAAAATTGACACCATGATATCACAATTAAAAGGACTAGAGAAGCAAAAGCAAGCAAATTCAAAAGCTAGCTACAAGACAAGAAATAAGATCAGACCAGAACTGAAGGACGTAGAGACATGAAAAAACCTTCAAAAAATCAATGAATCCAGGAGCTGTTTTTTTTCTTTAAAAAAGATTAACAAAATAGATATACCACTAGCCAAATTAATAAAGGAGAAAAGAGAGAAGAATGAAATAGACACAATAAAAAATGATAAACTGGATATTACCCACTGATCCCACAGAAATACAAGCTACCAGCAGAGAATGCTATAAACATCTCTATGCAAATAACTAGAAAATCTAGAAGAAATGGATAAATTCCTGGAGACATACACCCTCCAAGACTAAACTAGGAAGAAGTCGAATCCCTGAATAGACCAATAACAAGTTCTGAAATTGAGGCAGTAACTAATAGCCTACCAACCAAAAATAGCACAGGACCAGGCAGATTCACAGCTGAATTCCACCAGAGGTAAAAAGAAGAGCAGATACCATTACTTCTCAAACTATTCCAAACAATAGAAAAAGAGGGACTCCTTCCTAACTCATTTTATAAGACCAGTATCATCCTAATACCAAAACCTGGCAGAGACACAACAACAAAAAAAGAAACTTTCAGGCCAATATCCCTGATGAACATCAATGTGAAAATCCTCAATAAAATACTGGCAAACCAAATCCAGCAGCACATCAAAAAGCTTATCCACCGCCATCAAGTCGGCTTCATCCCTGGGACTCAAGGCTGGTTCAACATGTGCAAATCAATAAACATAATCCATCACATAAACAGAACCAATGACAAAAACCACATGATTATCTCAATAGATGCAGAAAAGGCCTTAGATAGAATTCAATACCCCTTCATGCTAAAAACTGTCAATAAACTTGGTACTGATGGAATGTATCTCAAAATAATAAGAGCTACTTATGACAAACCCACTGCCAATATCATACTGAATAGGCAGAAGTTGGAAGCATTCCCTTTGAAAACCAGCACAAGACAAACCTGCCCTCTCTCACCACTCCTATTCAACATAGTATTGGAAGTTCTGGCCAGGGCAATCAGGCTAGAGAAAGAAATAAAGAGTATTCAAAAACAGGAAGAGAGGAAGTCAAATTGTCTCTGTTTGCAGATGACATGATTGTATATTTAAAAAACCCCATTCTCAGCCCAAAATCTCCTTAAGCTGATAAGCAACTTTAGCAAAGTCTCAGGTTACAAAATCAATGTGCAAAAATCACAAGCATTCCTATACACCAATAATAGACAAACAGAGAGCCAAATAATGAGTGAACTCCTATTCACAATTGCTACAGAGAGAAAAAAATACCTAGGAGTACAACTTACAAGGGATGTGAAGGACCTCTTCAAGGAGAACTACAAACCACTGCTCAAGGAAATAAGAGAGGACACAAACAAATGGAAAAACTTTCCACACTCATGGATAGAAAGAATCAATATCATGAAAATGGCCATACTGCCTAAAGTAATTTATAGATTCAATGCTATCTCCATTAAGCTACCATTGTCTTTATTCACAGAATTAGAAAAAACTACTTTAAATTTCATATGGAACCAAAAAAGAGCCCATATAGCCAAGACAATCCTAAGCAAAAAGAACAAAGCTGGAGCATCATGCTACCTGACTTCAAACTATACTACAAGGCTACAGTAAATATAACAGC
This sequence comes from Homo sapiens, assembly GCF_000001405.40. Classification (NCBI taxonomy): domain Eukaryota; kingdom Metazoa; phylum Chordata; class Mammalia; order Primates; family Hominidae; genus Homo; species Homo sapiens. The sequence continues at coordinate 150,590,113 of NC_000007.14, read as the reverse complement.
ATGATACTGATACTGAAACCGATATATAGACCAATGGAATAGAACAGAGGCCTCAAAGATAATGCCATCCAACTACAACCATCTGGTCTTTGACAAACCTGACAAAAACAAGCAATGGGAAAAGGATTCCCTATTTAATAAATGGTGTTGGGAAAACTGGCTAGCCATATGCAGAAAACAGAAACTGGATGCCTTCCTTACACCTTATATAAAAATTAACTCAAGATGGATTAAAGACTTAAACATAAAACCTAAAACCATAAAAACCCTAGAAGAAAACCTAGGCAATACCATTCAAGACGTAGGCATGGGCAAAGACTTCATGACTAAAACACCAAAAGCAATGGCAACAAAAGCTAAAATTGACAAATGGGGTCTAATTAAACTAAAGAGCTTCTATACAGCAAAAGAAACTATCATCAGAGTGAAGAGGAAACCTACAAAATGGGAGAAAATTTTTGCAATCTATCCATCTGACAAACGGCTAATATCCAAATCTACAAGGAACATAAACAAATTTACAAGAAAAAAACAAACAACCCCATCAAAAAGTGGGTAAACAACATCCACAGACACTTATCAAAAGAAGACATTTATGCGCCAAAAAACATGAAAAAACTCATCATCATTGCTCATTAGAAAAATGCAAATCAAATCCACAATGAGATACCATCTCATAATACTTAGAATGGCCATCATTAAAAAGTCAGCAAACAACAGATGCTGGAGAGGATGTGGAGAAATAGGAACACTTTTTAAAAATATATGTATTTTTTATTAGTATACTTTAAGATCTAGAGTACATGTGCACAACATGCAGGTTTGATACATAGGTACACATGTGCCATGTTGTTTTGCTGCACCCATCAACTCCTCATTTACATTAGGTATTTCTCCTAATGCTATCCCTCCCCCTTCCCCCCACCCCACAACAGGCCCCAGTGTGTGATGTTCCCCACCCTGTGTCCATGTGTTCTCATTGTTCAATTCCCACCTATGAGTGAGAACATGTGGTGTTTGGTTTTCTGTCCTGGTGATAGTTTGCTGAGAATGATGGTTTCCAGCTTCATCCATGTCCCTACAAAGGACATGAACTCATCCTTTTTTATGGCTGCATAGTATTCCATGGTGTATAGGGGCCACATTTTCTTAATCCAGTCTATCACTGATGGACATTTGGGTTGGTTCCAAGTCTTTGCTATTGTGAATAGTGCCACAATAAACATATGTGTGCATGTGCATTTATAGTAGAATAATTTATAATCCTTTGGGTATATATACCCAGTAATGGGATGGCTGGGTCGAATGGTAATTCTAGTTCTAGATCCTTGAGGAATTGCCACACTGTCTTCCACAATGGTCAAACTAATTTATACGCCCACCAACAGTGTAAAAGTGTAGAAATAGTAACGCTTTTTCATTTTTATAGTAGAATGATATATAATCCCTTGGGTGTATACCCAAGAGTGGGAGTGTAAATTAGTTCAACCATTGTGGAAGATAGTGTGGCAATTCCTCAAGGATCTAGAACCAGAAATACCATTTGACCCAGCAATCCCATTACTGGGTATAAACCCAAAGGGTTATATATCATTCTACTATAAAGACACATGCACACATATGTTTATTGCAGCACTATTCACAATAGCAATGACTTGGAACCAACCCAAATGCCCATCAATGGTAGACTGGATAAAGAAAATGTGGCACATACATACCATGGAATACTATGCAGCCATTAAAAAAGATGAGCTCATGTCCTTTGCAGGGACAAGGATGAAGCTGGAAACCATCATTCTCAGCAAACTAACACAGGAACAGAAAACCAAACACTGCATGTTCTCACTCATAAGTGAGAGTTGAACAATGAGAACACATAGACACAGGAAGAGGAACATCACACACCGGGGCCTGTTGTGGGGTGGGGGGCTGAGGGAGGGACAGCATTAGGAGAAATACCTAATATAGATGACGGGTTGATGGGTGTAGCAAACCACCATGGCACGTGTATACCTATGTAACAAACCTGTACGTTCTGCACACGTATCCAGAACTTAGAGTATAATTTTTTTAAAAAGAATAAAATATTGGAAAGCAACATAGAGTGATGAAAACCAGACAAAAAGTAAAGGTGTTTAGATCCTCAAAATGAGGAACTACACGTGGCCACAGCCACATTAGAAAGACTGTTACTCTGAAAGTACTCCCCAGACCAAGGTTCAAGGGATGGGTAGAACTCTGATATCTAATATATCTATTTCCTGAGCCAACATCTGGAGAGACAAAACTCAGGATACACATCTGACTGCTTTATTTTTCTGCATTCCCCTCTGGCTCTTTTCCCCTAGAAGAGGATGTGGGTTTCCATATCTTATTACCTAGACTTCTGTATAAAACGCTAGTGTCTAGTAACCTGGAAACCTGGGCCTTGACATGGAAATTGGAGAAATGATAAAATGCAGACAATCCATTCTGAAGAAAGTACTCAGGCTAACATGGCTGAAAAAATTCTATTAATGTTTTTGAATGTTGGCAGCTGATTTTTCTATATGTCTATGAAGCAAATATTGCATTCTCAAAGAACCTCTAGCATTAGCATGCATTTAAGCTTGTTAAAATACAAACTTTCTGAGGAAGTAGGTGTAGAGTGGAACCTGGGAATTGGCATTCCTAACACCTAATGTTCAAGGCATTTCCCCTATTTCCAACATTCCTAGTAAATGACAGGGTGCCAAAGACCCTTCTCCCCTGCAGGATTCCGAAGGACATAGAACACACAAAGAACTCAATCAAATCAGGCAAAATACCGTCTTTTTACCAGAAGGATATGACTTTCTAATAAAGATGGAGTAGAGACCAGAGCTGGGACCAGAGCTCAAAGTAAGTGTCTTAATCCTCCTACTGGAACAGAAGGGAGTTATTCCCCATCCTGGGCCACCTGACAACCACAGAGTGACAGCCCCAGGAGAGAAAACCAACAGAATCTGACCCAGGCAGAGCTGCCAGAAGGAGACCTTCATTGGTGACTGTAGAGTGGAAAGAGAAAGCAAAAATGAAGGTCATGTCTGGTCACCACAGGGCAAAGGGGAAAGGACAGTCTGTTTCTTGTTTTTGGAAAGTTAAAACAATAGTAGGAAGTGCTCCAGTGGGTGTCAGGCTCTCTAACATCCTGGAATTGATCAGTCATCTGCATTCCTGAGAAGATGACAATTTATTAAGCAACTCCAGAGTTGTTTCCTCCTGGGTGTAGAGGGATAAACAGTTTCTCTTTCCAAGCCAGAGGGAGGAGAGTGAGCTTGGTATAGAAATGCCCAGTGCTGTCTTTGGTACCTTCCCCTGTAACTCAAAATCTCTAGGAAAGCTGCTGAAGCTTACATAATGCTGATCACTATTATGATGGTGGAAACTAGGCAGAAAACTGAACTTCAAGTGAATGAACTGCAAGTGCATGAAATGGGGTAAGACAGAGGACAGTGGCACACGCAGGAGGAAGTAGGGGAAGGATGAGGAAGTGAGTGCAGAAAGCTCCCTGCAGGAGGGAGTTTGGATTCTGTGTGCTGTGGAAATGCAGCTTGAGCCAAGTTTTACCATTCTCCAAGGGCAAGGGGGATGTACCACTGCCAAATGGGTGAAAAATATTTAACGAGTGCTTCACACACTCCAGGATATTGGAATCCAATGGTGAATAAGGAAGTGTTCTTCATCAGCCATAACTGTAGGAGACAGATAGCAAGTAGTCAAAATACAAGATCAAAACTACTTTGTCCTGGGTATACCCAGCATCAATGAGCATAAGTGTCTTGAATGGGCTAGGAAACATTTCCCACAAAAAGGTCAGATAGATGATGAATGCTGCTCTATGAATGCTTCAGCAGTGCCAAATCATCTTGTGGCTGACTGCCATGGTTATTACTTGAGACTGTCACTATGACAGTTACTACTGTTACTACTTGAGACCGTCATTACAAGACTGAATGAAGGGACGAACATAGAAATGAAAACTTAAGACAAAAGAAACCATTTTAAAGGAAAGGGAACTGGGGAAGAAGAAAAGGGCTCCCTGCTTCTAGTGAGCAAAGGCCGCCCCTGAGCTTCTACCACGCTTCGTATTTATTGGGTAGAATGACCAGGGAGCAGAAGGTAATGATTGGTCAGCTGCTTAATTGAACACAGGTTCACATTATTACTAACAGGCTTCAGATGTACCTAATCACAACAAACATTGCACTTGGCCGTCACTGCCCTCAGTATCCCTTCTGGGTGGAAGACACAGTTTGTCGGTCTGCCAACATTCTGCATTTGAGAAACAGTTTGCTGCCTACTCATATAGCCTCCAGTGGTATGCTGAATTGACCACGACCCTCAATCTTTTGTCCTCCAACATTTCTCCCTTTTTGTTTTTGAATTAATTGAATAAGGCAATTGCAAAATGTGCAGCCTTCAATTGCTGGTTGGTGGTTCGTTCGTCTTCACATTCAGATTCAACTGGCTCATGGCTCACACTGGGGGAACCAGGCCTGTGGCTGGGATCCATGGTTCCCTCCAATCTCCTGTTCCATGGTTGTACACACCTTGAGGGCACCCACATGGTTTGTTCATTTGCTGTGAAAACACAAGCATACCCTCGCCCCCACGTTAGTAAATCTAGCAAAGCAGAAGCAAAAAGTTTTTGTGGCTGTAGCCGGGAGGCATGCCGTTGCTGAAGCGTCTGCTCTGCAACCTGTAACTCAGCTTCTGTCTCTTTGGTTAATTACCGCAGGGTAAAACTTTCCATTGATAATGAGAGGCTGGCTCTTTCTGATTAACAGAAGGCACACAGAGAGCAAATCGAGGCTTATCCTTCTCCAGTCTCTCATTCCATCACCACCCAAAGAGAGCAGCCCAGGGAGCAGTGTGTGAGGGTGAACATTAGAAACATGAAAAGGAGCAGCATGAGAGTGAACAGCTTGTTGAAGTCCCAGAAACAAGTGAAACGGCCCTGGTTTGAATGCCTCTGACATATCTCCCCCTTTACAAGAGGACCCTTAATCCTAAGGGTTGCAGAGGGATGAAGATCTGTCTTCTGTAACTTCTTCAGGCTGAATAGGGGTGATGATATTCCTGCCTAACTATTAGGGTCTCTGTTTCTGCTTCAGAAGATAGTACAGGTGTCTCTACTACTGAAAAGGGCAGTACAGGCCAATTCTCATCCTCCCTCTCCTGCCCTCCACCCCCGGTGGGTTCAACGTGCAGGGCAAAAGACTCCTTTAAACCTTGAGACACAAAACACGAACCGCCCATCCAGTCTGAGACATGACAGAATCTCAGCACTCTGTTGAACACTTTGAGCTGTTCCTACTCCCACTAGGGATGTAGAAGATAGTTTTAGGGACCGAGATAGGGGCCAATTGTTTTTAGATATTACTGACACACTGACACATCAGCTCCTATATCCATAAGCCCATAAAACTTCTTTCCTTTGATTTGCACTGTATAGGTGGGTCTATTAGATGCCACGGGTTGTGATAGGTAAGTCTCTCTCCCAGTTGCACTTCCAAATCCCTGACCTCCTCACTTCTTCTTATGTAGAGAGGGGTACAATTTATAGGGAATAAGCAACAGTTGAGCAATATATTCTCCTGGTTCAAAAACCCAAAGATCTTGTGACGTTACCACTGCTTGAATTTCTCCTTCACAATCCCAATTACCAACTCCTGGGCCTGTAAGTTAAGACAGCTTTTGCCCAAAATTAATCCCATGTATCCTGTTGGCAAAGGTCCACAAATGCCAATGGGAATCTTAGTGAGTTTGTTTCTTCCAATTAACGTAACCTGCTCTCTAACTGGGCCATCTAATCCTGCGCTTCCAGGTGTTCCTGGGGAGAGGGAATCAATATGCCTCTGGAAACCAATCCCTGAAATGAAGCTGTTCTCTGGACAGGGAATGCCCTCATTTTTTGAGGTGCCAGGGTCCAGGCCCCCTTCTCACTTCCCAAGAGGGGGCTGCCATTTTGATGAAACTTTGAGTGGCATTGATTAACTCAATGATTCCCTTTATTGCAATGAGGGCCAAGTCCTGGCATTTTTTCTGTTAAGAGGGGAACTGTGTTACAAGATCCCTTTTGCCCAGAGGTCTGGCAGTGTTCTTTTTTGAAATGTCCAATTTTTCTACACTTATAACACTTTCCCACATTAGGGCTTGACCCTTGGCTTCTTTTAGATCTGTCAGCTACCAAATTAGCCATTGTCTGAGTCAATACTGCAGAGCAATGAAGCTCAGTTCCCACATCCCGACAAGCTCCGAGAAAACCTCCCAAGTTCTCTGCACATCTCACAGGTGCCAATGCAGGTTTACAATCCCAGAAAGCCAAAGCTAAAGTTAGCCTTTCTGTAGCCACAAAGGAAGATGGTACAAGCCAATTTCCATTCTCCCTCTCCTGTTCACTACTTTTGATAGGTGCTGTAGGTGGGGCAAAAAATTCCCTAAAACCCTGAAATAACAAAAAGATAGTACGTACCGAACTCCAAACAAAAGAGCGAAGAAATAGCCAAATTCTTCCCCATGTTACCCTGATTCAAAAACTTCCCATTCTTTGTACCTCTAGGGCCCTGACCTTATGTTGCTGCAGGCAGACTTGTAACAGGGTTTCTCATTCGTCTGGTTGGTTTTAATTTTTTCTGGGCTTTGGTTTTTTCTGTTCCAGCAGACCTTCCTCATTCAAGTCCCTTTAGGACCCAACTCTCCCTATCTGTCCCAGCAAGTTTTGCTAGTCTTTATCTATCCCTATCTGTCCCTCTCAGTCCCTATAGCCCCTGTTAGTTCCTGCAAGTTCTTGCAAGTCCCTGTCTTTCCCTACCTATCTCTATTTGTCCCTATTTGTCTATTTATCTCCATTTATCCCTCCTTATCTCTATTTGTCCCTGCAGGCCTCTTCAGGTCCCTTCAGGTCTCTTTTTGTCTCTGATAGTCCCTGTTTGTCCCTGTTCAGGTGCCACTTTTGGCTGACTGCCATGGTTATTACTTGAGACTGTCACTATGACAGTTACTACTGTTACTACTTGAAACCATCATCACAAGACGGAATGAAGGGACAAACGTAGAAATGAAAGCTTAAGACAAAAGAAACTTTTATAGGAAGGGGAACTGGGGAAGAAGAATAGCACTCCTCCTTCTAGTGAGCAAAAGCAGCCCCTGAGCTTCTACTGCACTTCGTATTTATTGGGTAGAATGGCCAGAGAGCAGGAGGTAACTACTGGTCCGCTTCTTAATTGATCACAGGTTCATATGATTACTAACAAGCTTCAGATGTACCTAATCACAAGAAACATCGTGCTTGGGGTGTAACTGCCCTCAATATCCCTTCTGGGTGGAAGATGCAGTTTGTCAGTCTGCCAAAATTCTGCATTTATGAGAAACAGTTTGCTGCCTACTCATATAGCCCCAGTGGTATACGGAATTGATCACGACCCTCAGTCTTTCGACCTCCAACATCATCTGTTGTTTCTGAATCACGGAGGAGCCTAGAATGATATTTCTCATCACCTCTTACACTGTATGGTCCAAGTGAGAATAAATCAAGATGAGACATTCACATGAGATTTGGATGGTGGACAAGGAAGAAGGACCATTCTCTGGCAGCAACAGCAGAGAGACAATGAGCAGACCTACCTGCATGTCACAGCAAATGAGCGCCTCAAAACCACCCAGCTCTGTGCATCAGCAAGCTTCCAAGACCTCTGCATTCCCAGCCCTCCAAGGGGTGGGCCAGCCTCTAATTTCCTGGATTTGAAAATATATCCTACCTATACCTACATATGCTTCAATTTTCCTGATCAAATATTCTGTATAAGTGGCTGTATAAGTGGAGGAAGATGAAATCCTTTTGGGGGGCAATCAGGGCAAAATCATGTTGGGTTCCAAAAATGGAACAGAGCATGGTCCAGTAATCCTGGGTCATGAAACATGAAAATGAGACTGCTTACAAGGGATTTGTGTCAAATATCTAGCTAGAATTCTTACTTGACAAGTGTAAATGATTTTAAAACATCTATACCATGAATTCATATTTTGTCCTGAATTTACAACGCCTCTCATAAATTTGGAAATATTTTAAAACAAAACATTCCCCAGGGTATATAAGTACTAAAAACTCTTAACCTTTCACAATGTGGTTTTGTTGTTGAAGCTGTGCTCACAATCCATCTCTTCAGAGCCCTGACAGTGAGGCAGCCAGAAAGGACCCATGCAGGGGAATTCCTTGCTGTTCTCTTTTGCCTTGTCCTCTCAGTGGCTGGGGACAAGGCAAGTAGCTACCAGCTGAGTTGATAGTGGACTCAAAGTGTTTCATTCAAAATGGGTGCCTCAGTGGAAGACCTTTCATGTTGGCAAACATTTAAATATCCAGTCTTTTCCCCAATTTTCCCACAAAAGCTTTCATAATTGAAATAATATTTTCTTTTACCACCTCTCCAAATAAAAATGTGGACAAACATAAACAGAGAGAAATTTTATAGCTTTACAGACTTACGCTAGTAAAGAAGAGAGTTCTAAAATCAAATATCTGAGCTTTCCATCTTAAGAAGAGGAAAAGCAGAGCAGTGATACTACTGTAACCCAGAACCTTACTTGTTTAACTGGGAAACATTGGAGGCATTGCCAAGAATAAGGCAAGCATGCTTGTCATCTCCACTACTGCTCAACATTATAATGGAGGTATTGGCCAATGCAATCAAACAAGATAAATCAATTAGGTGCACAAGAATAAGTAAAGAAAGGCAAACTGTGGAACATCCATATGGTAAAATACTACTCAGAAAAAAAAGAACAGGCAACTCAGATGACTCTCGAAAGCATTATGCTGAGACAAACAAACCCAATCTCAAAAGGGACTTCTTTTACTCATCTCTAGATTCTCAGTGTCTGCTCTAGAACCAACCATGAGATACAAGGAATCAATGAGTGGTAATGAGTGCGTGAGTAGGTATGAAGCCTCAAAACTCTTGAGAGAAGGAAACATGTCTCCCTCTCCTCTTGTATTAATCACAATGCATAGTATTTGCCAAGGACCTTCTGTCTGCCTTCTCTCCTGGGAGGCAAACAGGCAACACTCTTCTTAGAGTTTTTCACTTGGGCTTCTCATCTGCTTGCTGCTTCTTAAGTCAGAACCTTTTTCTTTCCCTCATCTGCAGCATTAACCTGAATGCAAGGGGAAGAATAATTGAGTGTGTGTTACACTGATAACAACCACTGCAGTTAGAGATTTTTTCCTATTAAACCTGAATGTACTTCCTCTTGGGAGGTATGTGTGGCTTTTTGTTCAAATATTTGCTCACAGACAGTAGTAATACAATAGGTGAGAGCAGAAGCTGTCTTACTCTGAGTGATTATTTCTAAAGGAATCGCACATTTCATTGTGTAGTGCTTCTCTTATATTTAAGCCTTTGCTAACTTTTGTTAAATGTACAGTCTAAACTTATTTGTGCTTTGGGGAAATAAGGAAGATATGTATATCCTGGGGTGGAGCCAAGATGGCCAAATAGGAACAGCTTGGGTCTACAGCTCCCAGCGTGAGCGACACAGAAAATGGGTGATTTCTGCATTTCCATCTGAGGTACCAGGTTCATCTCACTAGGGAGTGCCAGACAGTGGGTGCAGGACAGTGGGTGCAGCGCACTGTGTGTGAGCCAAAGTAGGGCAAGGCATTGCCTCACTCAGGAAGTGCAAGGGGTCAGGGAGTTCCCTTTCCTAGTCAAAGAAAGGGGTGACAGACAGCACCTGGAAAACCGGGTCACTTCAACCTTAATACTGTGCTTTTCCAACGGGCTTAAAAAACGGCACATCAGGAGATTATACCCTGCACCTGGCTTGGAGGGTCCTATGCCCACGGAGTCTTTCTGATTGCTAGCACAGCTGTCTGAGATCAAACTGCAAGGTGGCAGCAAGGCTGGGGGAGGGGTGCCTGCCATTGCCAAGGCTTCAGTAGGTAAACAAAACAGCCAGGAAGCTCAAACTGGGTGGAGCCCACCACAGCTCTAGGAGGCCTGCCTGCCTCTGTAGGCTCCACCTCTGGGGGCAGGGCACAGACAAATAAAAAGACAGCAGTAACCTCTGCAGACTTAAATGTCCCTGTCTGACAGCTTTGAAGAGAGTAGTGGTTCTCCCAGCACGCAGCTTGAGATCTGAGAATGGGCAGACTGCCTCCTCAAGTGGGTCCATGACCCCCGAGCAGCCTAACTGGGAGGCACCCAACAGTAGGCGCAGTCTGACACCTCACACGGCTGGGTACTCCTCTGAGACAAAACTTCCAGAGGAACGATCAGGCAGCAGCATTTGCGGTTCACCAATATCCACTGTTCTGCAGCCACCGCTGCTGATACCCAGGCAAACAGGGTCTGGAGTGGACCTAGCAAACTCCAACAGACCTGCAGCTGAGGGTCCTGTCTGTTAGAAGGAAAACTAACAAACAGAAAGGACATCCACACCAAAAACCCATCTGTACGTCACCATCATCAAAGACCAAAAGTAGATAAAACCACAAAGATGAGGAAAAAACAGAGCAGAAAAACTGGAAACTCTAAAAAGCAGAGCACCTCTCCTCCTCCAAAGGAATGCAGCCCTCACCAGCAATGGAACAAAGCTGGACAGAGAATGACTTTGACGAGTTGAGAGAAGAAGGCTTCAGATGATCGAACTACTCTGAGCTACAGGAGGAAATTCAAACCAATGGCAAAGAAGTTAAAAACTTTGAAAAAAAATTAGATGAATGGATAACTAGAATAACCAGTGCAGAGAAGTCCTTAAAGGACCTGATGGAGCTGAAAGCCAAGGCTCCAGAACTAAGTGAAGAATGCAGAAGCCTCAGGAGCTGATGCAATCAACTGGAAGAAAGGGTATCAGTGATGGAAGACAAAATGAATGAAATGAAGCAGGAAGGGATGTTTAGAGAAAAAAGAATAAAAAGAAATGAACAAAGCCTCCAAGAAATATGGGACTGTGTGAAAAGACCAAATCTACGTCTGATTGGTATACCTGAAAGTGACGGGGAGAAGGGAACCAAGTTGGAAAACACTCTGCAGGATATTATCCAGGAGAACTTCCCCAATCTAGCAAGGCAGGCCAACATTCAGATTCAGGAAATACAGAGAATGCCACAAAGATACTCCTCAAGAAGAGCAACTCCAAGACACATAATTGTCAGATTCAACAAAGTTGAAAGGAAGGAAAAAATGTTAAGGGCAGCCAGAAAGAAACGTCGGGTTACCCTCAAAGGGAAGCCCATCAGACTAACAGTTGATCTCTCGGCAGAAATTCTACAAGCCAGAAGAGAGTGGGGGCCAATATTCAACATTCTTAAAGAAAAGAATTTTCAACCCAGAAGTTCATATCCAGCCAAACTAAGCTTCATAAGTGAAGGAGAAATAAAATCCTTTACAGACAAGCAAATGCTGAGAGATGTTGTCACCACCAGGCCTGCCCTAAAAGAGCTCCTGAAGGAAGCACTAAACACGGAAAGGAACAACCAGTACAAGCCACTGCAAAAACATGCCAAAATGTAAAGACCATCAAGGCTAGGAAGAAACTGCATCAACTAATGAGCAAAATAACCAGCTAACATCATAATGACGGGACCAAATTCACACATAACAATATTAACCTTAAATGTAAATGGGCTAAATGCTCCAATTAAAGGACACAGACTGGCAAATTGGATATAGGGTCAAGACCCATCAGTGTGCTGTATTCAGGAAACCCATCTCACGTGCAGAGACACACATAGGCTCCAAATAAAGGGATGGAGGAAGATCTACCAAGCAAATGGAAAACAAAAAAAGGCAGGGTTTGCAATCCTAGTCTCTGATAAAACAGACTTTAAACCAACAAAGATCAAAAGAGACAAAGAAGGTCATTACATAATGGTAAAGGGATCAATTCAACAAGAAGAGCTAATTATCCTAAATATATATGCACCCAATACAGGAGCACCCAGATTCATAAAGCAAGTCCTTAGTGACCGACAAAGAGACTTAGACTCCCACACAATAATAATGGGAGACTTTAACACCCCACTGTCAACATTAGACAGATCAACGAGACAGAAAGTTAACAAGGATATCCAGGAATTGAACTCAACTCTGCACTAAGTGGACATAATAGACATCTACAGAACTCTCCACCCCAAATCAACAGACTATACATTCTTTTCAGCACCACACCACACCTATTCCAAAATTGACCACATAGTTGGAAGTAAAGCTCTCCTCAGCAAATGTAAAAGAACAGAAATTATAACAAACTGTCTCTCAGACCACAGTACAATCAAACTAGAACTCAGGATTAAGAAACTCACTCAAAACTGCTCAAATACATGGAAACTGAACAACCTGCTCCTGAATGACCACTGGGTACATAACAAAATGAAGGCAGAAATAAAGATGTTCTTTGAAACCAATGAGAACAAAGACACAACATACCAGAATCTCTGGGACACATTCAAAGCAGTGTGTAGGGGGACATTTATAGCACTAAATGCCCACAAGAGAAAGGAGGAAAGATCTAAAATTGACACCCTAACATCACAATTAAAAGAACTAGAGAAGCAAGAGCAAACACATTCAAAAGCTAGCAAAAGGCAAGAAATAACTGAGATCAGAGGAGAAGTGAAGGAAATAGAGACAGAAAACACCCTTCAAAAAAATCAATGAATCCAGGAGCTGGTTTTTTTGAAAAGATCAACAAAATTGATAGACCGCTAGCAAGTCTAATAAAGAAGAAAAGAGAGAAGAATCAAATAGATGCAATAAAAAATGATAAAGGGGATATCACCACCGATCCCACAGAAATACAAACTACCATCAGAGAATACTATAAACACCTCTATGCAAATAAACTATAAAATCTAGAAGAAATGGATAAATTCCTCGACACATACACTCCCAAGACTAAACCAGGAAGAAGTTGAATTTCTCAATAGACCAACAACAGGCTCTGAAAAATTGAGGCAATAATTAATAGCATACCAACCAAAAAAATTCCAGGACCAGATGGATTCACAGCCGAATTCTACCATAGGTACAAGGAGGAGCTGGTACCATTCCTTCTGAAACTATTCCAATCAATAGAAAAAGAGGGAATCCTCCCTAACTCATTTTTTGAGGCCAGCATCATCCTGATACCAAAGCCTGGCAGAGACACAACAAAAAAAAGGGAATTTTAGACCAATATCCTTGATGAACATTGAAGCAAAAATCCTCAATAAAATACTGGCAAACCGAATCCAGCAGCACATCAAAAAGCTTATCCACCGTGATCAAGTGGGCTTCATCCCTGGGATGCAAGGCTGGTTCAACATACGAAAATCAATAAACATAATCCAGCATATAAACAGAACCAAAGACAAAAACCACATGATTATCTCAATAGATGCAGAAAAGGCCTTTGACAAAATTCAACAACCTTCATGCTAAAAACTCTCAATAAATTACATATTGATGGGACGTATCTCAAAGTAATAAGAGCTATCTATGACAAACCCACAGCCAATATCATACTGAATGGACAAAAACTGGAAGCATTCCCTTTGAAAACTGGCACAAGGCAGGGATGCCCTCTCTCACCACTCCTATTCAACATAGTGTTAGAAGTTCTGGCCAGGGCAATCAGGCAGGAGACGGAAATAAAGGGTATTCAGTTAGGAAAAGAGGAAGTCAAATTGTCCCTGTTTGCAGATGACATGATTGTATATCTGGAAAACCCCATCGTCTCAGCCCAAAATCTCCTTAAGCTGATAGGCAACTTCAGCAAAGTCTCAGGATACCAAATCAATGAGCAAAAATCACAAGCATTCTTATACACCAATAACAGACAGAGAGCCAAATCATGAGTGAACTCCCATTCACAATTGCTTCAAAGAGAATAAAATACCTAGGAATACGACTTACAAGGGATGTGAAGGACCTCTTGAAGGAGAACTACAAATCACTGCTCAATGAAATAAAAGATGACACAAAGATATGGAAGAACATTCCATGCTCATGGGTAGGAAGAATCAATATCGTGAAAATGGCCATACTGCCCAAGGTAATTTATAGATTTAATGCCATCCCCATCAAGCTACCAATGACTTTCTTCACAGAATTGGAAAAAACTACTTTAAACTTCATACGGAACCAAAAAAGAGTCTGCATCACCAAGTCAATCCTCAGCCAAAAGAACAAAGCTGGAGGCATAATGTTACCTGACTTCAAACTATACTACAAGGCTACAGTAACCAAAACAGCATGGTAGTGGTACCAAAACAGAGATATAGATCGATGGAACAGAACAGAGCCCTCAGAAATAATGCTGCATATCTACAACCATCTGATCTTTGACAAACCTGACAAAAACAAGCAATGGGGAAATGATTCCCTATTTAATAAATGGTGCTGGGAATACTGGCTAGCCATAAATAGAAAGCTGAAACTGGATCCTTTCCTTACACCTGATACAAAAATTAATTCAAGATGGATTAAAGACTTACATGTTAGACCTAAAACCATAAAAACCCTAGAAGAAAACTTAGGCAATACCATTCAGGACATAGTCATGGTCAAGGACTTCATGTTTAAAATACCAAAAGCAATGGCAACAAAAGTCAAAATTTACAAATGGGATCTAATTAAACTAAAGAACTTCTGCACAGCAAAAGAAACTACCATCAGAGTGAGCAGGCAACCTACAAAATGGGGGAAAATCTTTGCAACCTACTCATCTGACAAAGGGCTAATATCCAAAATCTACAATGAACTCAAACAAATTTACAAGAAAAAAACAAACCCATCAAAAAGTGGGCAAAGGATATGAACAGACAATTCTCAAAGGAAGACGTTTATGCAGCCAAAAAACACGTGAAAAAATGCTCATCATCAGTGGCCATCAGAGAAATGCAAATCAAAACCACAATGAGATACCATCTCACACCAGTTAGAATGGCGATCATTAAAAAGTCAGGAAACAACAGGTGCTGGAGAGGATGTGGAGAAATAGGAACACTTTTACACTGTTGGTGGGACTGTAAACTAGTTCAACCATCGTGGAAGTCAATGTGGCGATTCCTCAGGGATCTTGAACTAGAAATACTATTTGACCCAGCCAGCCCATTACTAGGTATATACCCAAAGGATTATAAATCATGCTGCTATAAAGACACATGCACACGTATGTTTATTGCAGCACTGTTCACAATAGCAAAGACTTGGAACCAACCCAAATGTCCAACAACGATAGACTGGATTAAGAAAATGTGGCACATATACACCATGGAATACTATGCAGCCATAAAAATGATGAGTTCATGTCCTTTGTAGGGACATGGATGAAACTGGAAACCATCATTCTCAGCAAACTATTGCAAGGACAAAAAACCAAACACCCCATATTCTCACTCATAGGTGGGAATTGAACAATGAGAACACATGGACACAGGGTGGGGAACATCACACACCGGGGCTTGTTGTGGGGTGGGGGGAGGGGTGAGGGATAGCATTAGGCGATATACCTAATGCTAAATGACAAGTTAATGGGTGCAGCACACCAGCATGGCACATGCATACATATGTAACAAACCTGCACATTGTGCACATGTACCCTAAAACTTAAAGTATAATAATAATAAAATTTAAAAAAAAGGAAATGTATATCCTATTTTGGGCAAAATGATTTAGGGCATGGAGAAGCCAATTTCAAGATGGCAGAACATGGAATGTTGGCATAATCACATGTGACCTCTAGGACATACTGGTAGAACATGAAAACACGCTTTCAGGATTTCTAGAAATTATTAGGTGAGGAGAGCCCAGTAGAAAAGTAGAAAAGGGATAGGAACTTCAACTATCGCTATCTCTATAGTAAAGGGAATTTTTGCACCAACAAAACTACACAGGTCTCAGAAACCTTGGTTACTCATAATTTCCATCAGCACATAATGAAGATCCAAGGAAGTTGTGGTCTTTGGCTGATAAATGGGTTGAGATTGTGGCTCAAATCTTCTAGGGAAAGGGGGAAGGGGAGATGTCATGAGGGTAGACAAAGTCTAGCTCCAAAATCATCTTGAACTCTTACCATAAAGTGAAATTCATCCCTGTATTATTAGAAGTAGCAGTAGTATTTTCCAAGACAAAACAGGTTCCAATTCTGCACAAATATGAGATAATTGAAAAGTTTTATTATAAACAACATAAGCAAAAAATTCAATGCAGTGGGGGCAGAAGTGTGTGGATGACCTGCCAAACAATAAGTATTCAAAGTGTTGAGTGAGGGAGGTGAGGTTGCAACTATCTTTCTCTAGAAAAGAAGAGAACTGGGTATTCATCAAATTGGTTAAATTGAGGTTCGTCAAAGAGTTTCTACAGATACAGCTGAATATACTAAACATTGCTCTATTATCTGTTGAATTGCTGTATTTCACTTTTTCAGCATTTGGGGATCATTATTTAATTGAATTTGTAGAGATCGATTTTCCAGACAGGTCTCTGTTCTTCAATGAACAAATGATAAGAAACAATTTGACTCCTTATATGACAATGGAATTAAATAAATTGACACTCATCTAGGAATAATTCTACAATCATCTCCATCTCTAAGATTACCTACTGCAAACAAAGAATTGATCTTTCTTTCTCAAAAACCACATGGGTAAGATGATCATTGTGACTCTGAATGCAAGAATAAGTGAGTGGAAGCTACAAGGGGAGATTATCTGCCAACATAGAAAGAATCTAGAAGAAAAGATTTTATTACAGGTAACATGACATAGCTTGGAGCCATCTTTTTGGTCTCTTGCATACATTTTCTCTGCATGTCTAAGGAAGAATTCACAAGGTAGCAAGCACCAATACTTTCTGCTTTGGAGTTTCACAAATTGAAAATTTGTCCCTCTCTTGTTAAGTCAATCAAACATCTACCAATGGCCAATGGTGGTCCTTAGTTACGAGTGCCTGAGAGACAGAAACTAGAGCACTCGACTATGCTAAATAAGTAAGTATGGGGCAAGGTTGCCAGAGAATATGCAGAAAATACAAACAGATTTTCATTAAGTTTAATCTTCCGCGAACAGACGTAACAAAATAAAGGAAGCAATCTGTAACGCTGTCATGATTAATTCAAGTATCCCATCCTTACTCTCCACTTCCGTTCTTGCCCTTTGCTGCCTTACAGCATAGTGAGCCTCCTGTTCTGCTAGTTTCTTCTCCATTTGCTTCTTTCTCTTTTCCTGCTCCACTTTATCTTCCAGCTTTCTGATTTTCTCTTCATACTCCTCTCTTATCCGCGCTTTCTCTCTCTCCAGCTCCACTCTGTGGAGTTCTTGCATTGCTTGTGTTTGCTTCTGGATCTCCTCCTCCGCCCTTTGGTACATCCTATTAGTGTAGCAGCCTTCCTTGTTCTCCCTCACCACGCGCTGGATCAGGCCCAGCAACTGTGCCCTCTGGGCCTCCTGCTCAGCGCCTGTTGCCTTGTTGTTTAACGCACAGTAGCGGTCACCGAAAATGTCCATCAAGTCTTGAATGTCTTCTGGAGCTTCCCTTAAGTAGTCATGCAAATTGGTGTCACCTAAGTCATCTTTCCGGGTGAATATGAGAATCATGAAACTTCTAGCCCTCTCTCCAAACATTTTCAGGATCTTCTCTGTGGCTTTGTGCTCTTCCTCAGTGTAACGGCCCAGTGGAACCACCAGAAGCAGAGCATGAGGCCCTGGGGAGGTCAGAAGAATGCAGCGAATAATCTCCTTGGACGTTTCAGCATTGGGCACCTCTGTGTCGAAAATGCCTGGTGTGTCAACTACGACAAGTTCTGTTTCCTTCCATGAGCTGCTGCGTTTCTCACACTTCTTGGTAATGGATTTTGCTGCAGTGCCAGAATGAAACACTTTCCGGCCAAGGATGCTGTTTCCTGTTGCACTTTTTCCTGCTCCGGTTTTACCCACTAACACAATTCTCAATTGGGAATTTCTGGGCTCTTGCCTTCCAGGCCCTGGGACATCAAGAAAAAAAAAAAGCCATGCTGTTAGAATCTACCTCTAATAGATTCCCCTGCAGAGTCCTCACCCCCAGTGCCCTCCTCCGTTACTGGCTGTGGGGGCTTCTCCTGATGTTACTGCTGCACTCAGAGATTCCTGTAGGCCTGATGCTCATTTTTCAGTACTTGGGCAACTGGCCTTTCCCTTAATCTCCTATCTTCAATCTTGCTTTTTAGGATTCCTTTGAGCTTCTCAGTCTGACCTTTTGTAGCTATGTAGCCCAGAGGAAGAAATAAAATGGTTTCAGAAGAGAACTATGAGCTGCCAATAATAGCTGTTTGTACCTTTATTTTTTCTTTTTGAGACGGAGTTTCACTCTTGTTGCCCAGGCTGAAGTGCAGTGGCATGATCTCGGCTCACTACAACCTCTGCCTCCTGGGTTCAAGCGATTCTCCTGCCTCAGCCTCCCAAGTAGCTGAGATTACAGGCATGCACCACCATGCCCGGATAATTTTTGTATTTTTAGTAGAGACGGGGTTTCGCCATGTTGATCAGGCCGGTCTCAAACTGCTGACCTCAGATGATCCACCCGCCTCGGCCTCCCAAAGCGCTGGGATTACGGGCATGAGCCACTGCACCCGGCCAGCTGTTTCTTTCTAAATAAGGTCGTGCAGGGAGTAACCCAAGATTTGACTTTAGCATATCTGTAGTGGAGATTTATTTTCCCAATTTATATTCAAAATGAAGCATTTCTTCTTCCCATTAAGAAGCCAGGGAAGTGGGTTATGCAACTTATCATTATTCTTAAAATACACCTTCCCACGTTTGATAACCAGAATTCTGGGATGAAAGAAGCGTATTTCCGAAAGTGATGTGACTGAGAACACTGGATACAGGAAGGCTAAGATTATCTAAGGAAAAACGTGGGCTGGCGTTCACATTTTTAGTTAGCATCACAGCAGAAGGCTCTGTCCTAAGGATATCCTGAGGGCATTTTTTGGCCATAGGGAAGGAAGTAGGAGAATCATGGGAGGCAAAATGACAAAGCACCAAAGGCCAGCTCCAACACTGCAACAGTTAGTCAGTGTTGAGAGCATATGGTGACAATCCATGGAGGAGATTGTAAATGTAGCCACAATCTATTCCCATCCCTGGATGCATGCCTCTGGGATGTAGATTTGCAGTTCCTCCCATCAAGATGCTATCTGTCTCTTCAACTGTTGAATCTGGGTGGGCCTTATGACTTGCTCTGGACAGTAGGACAGTAGAAAGCCTGGTGCAAGCAGAGACTCCAAAAGTGCTTATGCACTGTGGCTTGCCTTTTCTTTCTGCTCCTCCTGCAACTGCCTTAAAAGGAAGCCTGGACTAGCCTTCTTGATGATAACAACAAGGCCCAGTTATCTCTATTACCCTTGCTGTCTGAGAGCTTGCTAACTACCAGACATGTCCATAAGGCTATCCAAGACCATTCAGTTGCATACCAGGCACTAGCTTACCCCAGATGCATGAGTGAGTGCCTGAGATGAGCCAAGCTGGTCCAGACCCAAGAACAGCCCAGTGAACCCACAGAATTAAGAACCAACTAAATGGCTGATGTTTTAAGCTATGAAACTTTGGGATAGTTTATTAAACCAGCAAAATCTCAACTGATATAGTCAATTTCTATGGGTAAGGAAGAAAATGGAGGGTCATGTGATACACTGAATGAGCCAGCCAGTTTAATTTGTTGGTTATAGTGAGACCACCAGGAGCTGGGAAATTAGATACCAGGGTGAGGGACAATTACTCCCACATTCCTCATTCCCAGTTCTCCTCCAGGCTGAAGAAAGGGGCAGAAAAACAATCAGATAGGCTACAACCAGCTGTTCTGGTGTGTCCATGTTGTAGGAAGCAGGAGGTAAGAAACTGTGCCGAGCCCTGGGTCAATCAGAGGATATTTAATCTCTCTTCTGCTTAGCTGCTTAGCCACACCATGGGCAGAAAGTGCAGAGGGTCAAGAAAGATGAAAGAGCAGGTCAAATGAGGAGAAAATGAGAAAAGAGGTTGGAAATATTTTTCTCCTGCTCAAATGGGGACTGGGTGGCAAGGCAGGAGAACCCCACCCCTATTCCCCCCCAAATCCCCCACCCCCACCTGCTAACCTCCCTGCAGCCTGGTCTGGGGAGCACTGAATGCCCTCTCACCATAACTGGCCCCTGGTGTGCTGGGGTTGAAGCTCATACTGCCGTATTGGGCTGCCATTGTCGCTTGAACTCCTGTAGATCAAGAAACATAACCATGTCATTTTAGGGAAATGGAAGCAACTAGAATCCCTGACTGCCTGTAGTCAACAACAACTTTCTTTTTGCCATGAGCTTGCTACATTGATTTCTCCTGCTCCATTTCCCAAAAGTCTCCTCAACCCTCCATTTTCAGTTTCATTTTCAGATTGTTCCTTTTTCTTTACACAAACATAAATGCTTCCAGTGCTTCCTCACAGGGGTTCTGGCCCCTTCCCCCCTCTATCTAGAGATTCGTGGCTTGGATGTGTTTATATGAGGTCTGTAGCCTACACCCTCCTCAGAGTTCCAAACTTTTATATCTCCCTCAGCTTATAAAAGTTCCAAACTTTTGTATCTCACTCCATTTGGCTATTTCATGGGCATCTCAAACAGAACCTGGCCGAAATTAAGCCCTGACCTCCACATCCTGTCTGCCTTCCTGGCTCCCCGCTCAGCAGATGGCACCAACATCTAGCCCCGTGGCTCCTGCAGAACTTTGGGGTCATCTACAACTCTTTTATCCTCTCTCTCTCATCAGCCCATCACCAAATCCTATTGATTCCACTTCCAAAAAACTCGAAATTACCCATTTCTCTCCATCTTTGTGCTAATACAACCCACTGTCAATTGTATACAACTTAACAGGCTTCTAATTGATCATCTCCCCTTCAATCCCTTTTCTACTCTACAATCAGATGTTCTTTTAAAACTAAAATTTGATATTTTTTCTTGTTTAAATTTCCTAGTGGCTTACTATTGGTTTCAAAATAACTGAAGTCCTCAGAATGGCCCATAGGCCCTGTGTGATCAGCTCTCTCCTCTCTCCTATGTGTGAGCCACACTACCCTCAATGTTCTGGAAATCTAGGCTCCTTCCACCTTCAAGGCCTTTGCAGTTATCATTCCTTCTCTTTGGAGCACTCACCCTCCAACCTAGTGCCCAGCTTGTTCCTGCTCAACCCGCAGGCCTCGGCTCTCCAGAGAGTCTTCCCCAACACCACTGTCTACCAGCAACACCCTCTGTTATGATCCACTGCACCCCAGAGGCTTCTTACAGAATATGTATTACTTTAGGAAGTTAATTGCTTGATTTTTTTACTGTCTCCTCTTATACTACAAGCTTTGTGATGAGAAGACCACATATGTCTTGTATTTCTCATTATTCCCTGGGGACAAGCACAATACTGGGCAAAGAATGGTTATCGATCATTGTTAAATAAATAAATGGATAATCTCCCTGCTTCTTGCCTTTGATTGATCATTATGTCCAGCCCACATCTGATCTGTGAAAATGACAATCCATTCCTTTATTAATTAATATGTAGTGTTATAGAAACATGGTATTAATTTTAAATGTTTTATTTCATTGCTACCTACAAACATTTTGCAATGGAGAAAGATATTTGAAGAACTCTTATTGGAGCAGACTTTGAACAAAACAGGCAGAAAATGGTAGTTGTTAAAGACAGAGTCACCTCATAGGAAGCCAACAAATATGAAACACTGTGAAAAGCCAGATATTTCTTTTGAATGACTATTTCTTTATCCTTCAAGAATAGGGTATAGGAAACAGCTTCTTGTAAACAAGAGAAATCATGGCATTTTTTAAAAATCAGCTTTGGTGGCTGGTGTTAGGAGAGAGGATAGGACACCAGCAAGAAGAAAACAATACTGTGACATTCTGGGTTTTTGTGACATTCTCTGGGTGTTTCTTCATATCCTCCTTCTAGTGTGTGGGCTCTTTAATGCTGCTCTGCTGTTAATAATTCAGAGGCAAAGCCAGGAGACTGTGCTTCTGTAGGTGCTGACTTCAGGTGGCTGAATTCTCCTCTCTCTGCCTAAGGAACAAGCACCCATCAGCATCCAGCTTCTCCTGAACTGTAGAGAGTCACACCAGGTGGCATCTCCCTCCTCCTACCCGCTAAAGGGGAGCTCAATGCCCAGTAAACCCAGGACTGTCCCTGAGGAGACAGTTTCCCTAACGGGCAGCTCCGAGCAGACAGTTAACCCTGTAACAAGACCTCAGACTGCAGAGCCTCCAATCCTGACCTGGGTGCAGTCTTTGTGGGGCCACATATGGAGCTGTGCCCCTTACACATCCCAATGTTCCTCTTCCCACCAGCTCCCCCAGAGCTAATTCTGTCCGCTCACCCAACTTTATCCCTGGAAGAATCAAAGTTTCTATATAAATTCCACAACCAGCGAGAGGAAACATTTATTTGTAAAACAAGTATCCTCTGAGCAGCAATCTCTGGAAGAGGCATTGATTTGTAGGGCTCAGCCTTGAAAACAGATCACAGCCTAAAATTAGCAAAGCCAGGAAACGGGAACCAGCGAGAATATAGTCTGAAAACATGTTTACCAGACGATTTAAGATACAGGTCCCTCCTCACCAAAATCGCACATTCGTCCCGACCCCCACCACACACACCCCTATTCCCTTACCTGAAAAATCAGGATCTTGCACCCCTCTCTGATTTTGCACACAATACTAAGCCAGGATGTTGAGAAACAGGAGAAGAGAGGAAGTGAGGGGAGGAGCTGTCCAGATTTACTTGTGCAAGGGACCTGCCCACCTGATCATCCAGCAGCTCTAATAGAACTTTCTGCAGGGATGGGGTTGTTCTGTGCTGTCCAAGATGGTGACCCTTAGCCACACGTGACTACTGAGCGCTTGAAATGTGACGAGTGTGATTGCAGTTCTGAATTTTAAATTTTATTTTGTTTCAATTTATTTAAAGTTAAATAGCTACTCCATTGTCAGAATTCTAAAAGGCAAAGTCAGGCAGAACAACTTGCACCAGGCATTTTCCCCAGAAGGAAAGAAGGAATATTCAGCTTGGTATGCCTGGTGGCTACCATACTGAACCTTGCAAAGGCTCTGCAGTGAGACAAAAAACATGGGTCATGCTGTGACATTCTGGAAGAAACTTCTGGGCCAAAACTAGAGAGTTATCAGTTATTCTGAAAGACCCTTGAGCCCCTGAACCCCTGCTCAGCACAACAGGCCTCCCAGCTAAGCCCCCATACCCCTTTCTCCCAGTACCTCAGGTATGTCCTCTGAGTCCACAGTGTGTCCTTATTTCCAGGGTATGTCCATGAGTCATCTGCTAGAAGCAAAAGAGAGTAAATGACTTTCACTGGACTGACTAGGATGGGCCCAAAATTCACCTCCTGAGATGGTCCTGGAACCACTGAAATATTCTAAACACTGACATCTGACACTACTTACCACTAAAATGGAAACTTTGAGAGTATTGTAAT
The DNA here is from genome assembly GCF_000001405.40 of Homo sapiens. Classification (NCBI taxonomy): domain Eukaryota; kingdom Metazoa; phylum Chordata; class Mammalia; order Primates; family Hominidae; genus Homo; species Homo sapiens. The sequence continues at coordinate 150,566,618 of NC_000007.14, read as the reverse complement.
GGGGTCCCAGCTCACCGTTATAACCAGTTATTTTTCCATTGTAAAAGGGGTCTCAATTTACCATTATACCCCACAGCTGAGACCTTATTTAGAATTACATAGCACTTTAGTAATTATAAAATTGCTAATAATTCTAAAGAGAACTGTAAGAGAAAGACATACATTTCTTTGAGGATAGAATGTGATTGGCCCTGGGTATACAAGCACAGGATGGCTACACTAAAAAGCAGAACAAGGCAATGGAATACATCTTGCACCAACAGTAAGGATAATTTACATTCCAGAGCAACATGACTTAAATAACAAAGACCACTTGGTCCCTTGGTTTGACAGGCAAACGAAGGCAAGTCCAAAAGAACAGGCAGCATGAGAAAGCATCTCCGCGATTCTGAACTGAGATACCTTAAAAGACTAGGATTATATTTTGTTTCTGAAGCCTAAACCTGGCTAGAAGGTATATATTATTCTATTTAATTACAGAAATTGATGCAAAATATAGTATTTATTTTTAGTACTATTAAAGCACTGGATCATTACTTAGGGAATCTTTATTCAGGTTACAGGGATCACTGCAGTAGGAAAGTTCTCTGTTAGGGACTACATTTGCAGTGAGCACCACGTTTCATCTAATGCTTTAACAATAAAGCAATGTGTAGACAAAAATGTCTACATTAAAGATCCAGAAATGAAAACAATAATTTGTGATACCACATTAAAAATTTAGAAAAGGAACAGCAAATTGAACCTAAAGTAAGGAGGATGAAGGAAATACTAAAGGGAAGAAATCTTGAAACAGAAAAAAAAAATAGAGAAAACCAATAAAATCAAACATGAATTCTTTGGAAATAATTAATAAAATTGATAAGCCTCTATCTACATAAATCAAGAAAAGGGGCAAAACATACAGTATACAAGTTATTAATATCAGGAATGGGAACGAGATCATGCAGGCATTAAAGGGGTTGGGCCTGATCACCTCAACATCTAGCTCCAGTTAAAAAAGGGGGAGAATCAGGAGGTTATGTATGCTAACCTCCAAAAACATATGAAAGAGACAGTTCAACCTACTGCACCCTCAGGGGAAGCTCCGGAATGGCCACCCCCACCTAAGCCTTGTGAACTGCAGGCATGGGAGCCTGAGATGCCGTTTGCGGCACCTGTTATTGCACAACCTGCCGTTAACTATGGTAAAAATCAGACTCAGCCACCAGTTAATTACGGTTAAAAATTCAGACTTGTCCACCTGTTAATTATTCCAAAGAGATGCTTCAGGCTCCTCCCAACGTTAAATATGGGACAATTCAGGCTTCCATTCATCAGGCACGAGAAAGTGGGGACTTGGATGCTTGGCAGTTTCTGGTGACTGTCATACCAGAGGAGCAGCCTGGACATGCTCAGTCACACTGGGAGCCATTCCCTTTTAAAATATTGAAAGACTTAAGGCAAGCAATTGGACAATGTGGGCCAAATTCTCCTTATGTTCATTCCCTATTACAATCTGTGGCTTACAACCAGCACTAATGATTGAGGAAAAAATACAACAAGCTCCATTCACCTACAGGGGTTATTGCTCAGAGTGAGGACTTGGTTGAATGGTCTTTTTATAGTTCCAATGAACAAAAACCAGATTCGACAGGTTTTTATTAACTCCTTTAATTGGCAAGTAAATTTATTGGCAAGTTAATTGGCAAGCTGAATTCATAGGAAACCTTAACAATCATTATCCAAAAAATAGGATTTTTCAGTTTTTAAAATTAACTACATGAGTTCTGCCAAAAATTACCCATAATGCTCCCTTAGAAGGAGCAGTGACTGTATTTACAGACGGCTTTAGTTCTGGAAAGGCAGCCTGTGTAGGACCTAAAAATTGAATTATTCATACTAATTTCCATTCAGCTCAGAGGGCTGAATTACAGGCAGTTATAACTGTGTTGAAAGATTTTAATCAGCCTGTAAATATTGTCTCTGGTTCGGCTTACGTTGTTCAAGCCACTCTAAACATAAAAACTGCATTAATTAAGTACATTGTTGATGAACAACTTTATCAACTGTTTTCTTCCTTACAGAAGGTGGTGCATCATCAAGGTTTTCCTTTTCATATTACACACATCCAAACACATACTAATCACCCTGGGCCCCTTGTAAGGGCTAATAATCAAGCTGATTTATTAGTTTCTCCTGTACTCACAGATGCCCAAGACTTTCACTCCTTAACACATGTTAATGCAGCAGGACTTAAACAGAAATATCAAATCACCTGGAGACAAGCAAAGGACATTGTACAACATTGTCCTCAGTGCCAAGTATTACAATTACCACATCAAGGAACTGGTGTTAACCCTAGAGGGTTGGCACCTAACAAAATCTGACAAACTGACGTTACCCACATTCCTAAATTTGGTAAACTTTCTTACGTTCCTGTAAGTGTTGATACATTTTCAAAATTCATGTGGGCTACCTGCCAAACTGGTGAAGCTACAGCACGTATAAAAAGACATTTGCTTTCTTGTTTTGCTGTTATGGGCATTCCACAGGAACTTAAAACAGACAACGGGCCAGGCTACTGCACTAAATCTTTAGAAACATTCTTACAACAATGGGGTGTTCGACATAGTACTGGCATACCCTATAATTCTCAAGCACAGGCCATTGTTGAACTTGCAAACAGAACTTTAAAAACTCAATTACAAAAACAAAAGGCAAAGAGGGGGGAATACTCCACTCCCTATATGCAGCTACAACTGGCTCTTATTATTTTAAATTTTTTGAACTTGTCCAGAGATCAGTTTACAACTGCAGCAGAGCAGCATCTAACAGGGCAAAAAATAAATCCCCATGAAGGAAACCTTGTGTGGTGGAAAGATGTCAGAACAAAGACCTGGGAAGAGGGGAGAATCATTACATGGGGTAGAGGGTTTTCTTGTATTTCACCAGGAGAAAATCAGCTTCCTCTCTGGGTGCCTACAAGACATCTTAAGCTGTGCCGTGAGTCAGAATCCAAGGAAGAGGAGAAGACCTCGGAACTTTGCACTCCCAACTTGCCTGATGGCTCAAATGAAGATTTCTGCTGAGCAGAAGGTGACCAGCAAGACTCACCAGTCAACTCCACCGACCTGGGGGCAGATTAAGAGATTGACCCAGCTTGCAGAAGAGGACCTGAAGTCTCAGGACAAACCGTGGACCTCCTGCAATCTGCTGGTAGCTATGATGGTGGTAATTACCCTGGCAGTGAGTCTCCCTGTAGCTGAGGCTGATCAAAATTATACCTATTGGGATTACATTCCATTCCCTCCACTGATTAGACCTCTTACTTGGCTGAACTCCCCAGTTGAGGTTTATGTTAATAATAGTGTTTGGATGCCCGGACCAACTGATAACCAAGGCCCTACTCATCCAGAGGAGGAAGGTATGTTAATAAATGTGTCCATTGGTATTGCTTTCCTTCTATATGTCTGGGGCCTGCAGCAGGATGTTTAGATTATGACAAACAAAGCTGGATGGTTTATGTCCCTGCACATAATGGATCAGAGGCCTCTATTCATATAGTTAGTGGAAGGAGCTTTCAATCTAAAACAAAAGTCATATCCTCAGGAAATTCCTATCGTATAGCTAATATTCTTACTAATCAATTTAGGCCAAGAAAGAAAAAATGCCCAGAACAATTGACATTATGGTCTAAGGAAGCTGAGGTGCTGACTTGGGAAGATTGCATTGCAAATAGTGCTGTGGTACTGCAAAATAACTCCTATGGAATCGTTATTGACTGGACCTCTAAGGGGCAATTTGCAGTAAATTGTACTGGACAGCACAAGGGATGTCAAGAGCGCAGCTTGCCAATTGACTATTCCGAAAAGGCACCTACCCAAAAGTATAGAATAGAAGCCGACTTTCCTGTCTTCTGGGAAGGCAGTGATATGGTTCCTCCATGCCCTAAAATGATTGATCCAATAGTAGGTTCAGAACACCCAGAACTGTAGAAATTAATGATGGTTCAAACCCCAATATGGATTTGAAAAGGAGAATATAAAACAGAAACCCATAGTAAAAAACTTCAATTTGTTGTAGCTTAGTCCTCTAATCAGATGTCCCATTACAGGGTTGTGTTAAACCTCCTCTTATGTTGGCAGTAGGACAAATCAATATTTTACCTGATTTTCAAACTATATCATGTCTTGGCTGTCATCTTTTCACTTGCATTGACTCTACATTTGATAAGAATAATAGTATCTTGCTTGTCAGAGCCTGAGAGGGAGTTTGGATACCTGTTTCCCTTAATAGACCTTGGAAAGCTTCCCTTTCCATTCATATTGTCACTGAAATACTAAAGGGAATGCTTAATTGAACAAAAAGGTTTATTTTCACTCTTATTGCAGTTATTATGGGTACCATAGCTGTAACAGCCACGACAGCAGCCACAGGTGTTGCTTACATTCTTCTGTTCAAACTGCTGATTATGTTAACCAGTGGCAAAAGAATTCTTCTAAGCTTTGGAATACCCAGAAACAAATTGATCAAAAATTAGCTAATCAGATTAATGATCTCCATCAAACAGTACCATGAATGGGGGATTGAATTATAAACCTGGAACATAGAATACAAATACAGTGTGATTGGAATACTTCTGATTTTTGTATTACTCCTCAATCTTATAATGCCTCTGTGCATCATTGGGAAAAGGTTAAACACTATCTAGAAGGAAGAGAGGAAAATCTAACACTGGACATAAGAAAATTAAAGGAACAAGTTTTTGAGGCATCTCAAGCCCACTTAACTCTCTTACCTGGTGCTGATGCCCTTAATGGAGCTGTTGATGGGCTCTCTGACCTGAATCCTCTGAAATGGATTAAAACCATTGGAGAATCAACTGCTACAAACTTTGCTTTAATTTCTGTTTGTCTATGCTGCTTATTTTTAGTCTACAGGTGCAAAAGATGCCTTGGGAGAGAAGCCAGACACCACAAGCAAGCCATGATAGAAATGGCAGTTATTAATTAAAAAAAGCGGGGGGCAAGTGCTGGTGGAAGGGATTATGGGGTGCCAGTTTAGCCAGTCACCCCTGTGTAGGACACCTATGGAATACCATAGGGGGCCCCTGAGGAGAAACATCTCCTTATTGCCATTGTGTCCCCATGCCAGTGAGCATGGCTGAAACACTCCCTTGAGCACTGGAATGTGACCAGACATCCTGACTTTTTGTAAAACCAACTCCTACCAGCTGCAGCCCAATAAGTTAAAGATTATCTCAGTAGTTAGACATATGCTTTTAGCTTAAAGGAAATTCACTTAACCGTCACTGCTATAGATCTTTCACAACCGAATGACACACGTACCCCTCCTTCACCATTTCACCCTGTACCATCCCCTTCTTAGATCAAAAAATTGTACTCAATAAATTGTCAGGCAGCCAGAGCTCTGGGCCTTTTGCAGCCTTCCCTCCAGCAACTGGCCCCCTGGACCTACTTTAAATCTTAACTTGTCTTTTCTCATTCCTTTGTTGCCACCAGACTTTGGGTACCCGCAGGTAGTGTTGAGGCTGGACCCCAACAAAAGGGATGATAATGGACTGTAGTAATGCAGTTTTGAGGACTGAGGTCAGAGGAGAGAGATACAGATGGACATCTCTGAAGAGCATGAAATGTACAGACATGTGTACCTCATATTAACACTGATTAAAGAGAATTCAGAAAAGGATATTAATTAATATACCCAATTCTGTGCACATCAGCCAGCCTCTTCTCCCAGCCACACCTGTCCTTGCTTAATAGGCTCATCACATGGTGGTAGGGATGGGGGTTATGCATGAATGCAGCAATTTTGACTCCCAGTCTCTGAGGCCAAGCTGGCTACAGCCACTGTTAAGTGACCAAACTAATAAGAGCTAAGACCAACACTGAGCCTTTGATCCAACACCATATCCCAGGGAGATCAGTTGGCCACCGGGGGGCATGTATCCACTTCTATGATAGAAAGAGCAGAACCAATGTTTGATATCAGAATGGATCTTCCCACTATTGATCCTAATGAGCCATGTGAAATTGTGGCTTCCCTTTCCCACAGCTTTGGGTTATGTTGGCCTCAGTTCCCAAGGAAAGAATGCTTCTCTCATGAACACAATGTTTCCCTAACTATTGGGGGAAACCACCCCCAATATTTCAATGTAGGTTCTTTCTATTTTCCTTAAGTGTCAGCTGGCTGAGAAATAAAGAGAGACAGTACAAAGAGAGGAATTTTACAGCTGGGTCGCCGTGGGTGACATCACATATTGGTAGGACAATGATGCCCCCCTGAGCCTCAAACCAGCAAGTTTTTATTAAGGGTTTTAAAAAGGGGAGGGGGTGCAAGAATAGGGAGTAGGTACAAAGATCACATGCTTCAAAGGGCAAAAAGCAGAACTACTAATAAGGGTCTAACAAAGATCACATGCTTCTGAGGGAACAGGACAAAGGGCAAAAGCAGAACTACTGATAAGGGTCCAACAAAGATCACAGGGCAAAGGGCAAAAGCAGAACTACTAATAAGGGTCTATGTTCAGCGGTGCACGTATTGTCTTGATAAACATCTTAAACAACAGAAATCAGGGTACAAGAGCAGAGAACTGGTCTGACCACAGATTTACCAGGGCAGAGTTTTCCCCATCCTAGTAAGCCTGAGGGTACTGCAGGAGACCAGGGAGTATCTTAGTCCTTATCTCTACTGCATAAGACAGACATTCCCAGAGCGGCCATTTATAGACCTCCCCCCAGGAATGCATTCCTTTCCCAGGGTATTAATATTAATATTAATATTCCTTGCCAGGAAAAGAATTCAGTGATATGTCTCCTACTTGCATGTCCATTTATAGGCTCTCTGCAAAAAGAAAAATATGGCTTTTTTTGCCTGACCCCACAGGCAGTCAGACCTTATGGTTGTCTTCCCTTGTTCCTAAAAATTGCCATTATTCTGTTCTTTTTCAAGGTGGACTGATTTCATATTGTTCAAACACGTTTTACAATCAATATGTACAGTTAACACCATTATCACCGTGATCCTGAGGTGACATACATCCTCAGCTTACGAAGATAACAGGATTAAGAGATTAAAGACAGGCATAAGATATTATGAAGGTATTATTTGAGAACTGATAAATGTCCATATTAAAATGAAATCTTCAAAATTTATGTTCCTCTGCTGCAGCTCCAGCCGGTCCCTCCATTCGGGGTCCCTGACTTCCTGCAACACCTAATAATATAGGAATGTTCAGATTATGTATTTCTTCTTAAGTGAACTTTGGTAGTTTCAAGAAACTTCTCTATTTCCTCAAAGTTGTTGAATTTATTGGCCTAAAGTTTTCCATGATATTCCCTTATTATGATCTTAATTTATATAGAATCTTTAGTGATGTAATAATTGATATTTTATACTTTCTCCATATTTTTTCTTATACACCTGGATAGAAGTTTGCCAATTTTATTGATCTTTTTAACAAAACAGCTTTGGATTTTTTCATTTTTTAAAATATTTTTCTGTGTTCTATTTTACTGATTCCCATGTTGATCTTTATTTCTTGTGCTTACTTTGAGTTTAATTTGCTCTTTTTTCTTATTTCTTAATGTGGAAACTGATGTCATTGATATAAATTTTTTCTTTTTTTTCTATTACAAGCATTTAGAGCTATAAATCTCTTTCTAATATTGCATTAGCTGAATCCCACAAATTTTCATATGCTGTGTTCTTCACTCATTTAAAATGCTTTCTAATTTTCCTTTTGACCTAGTTTTTGGCCCACAGATTATTTAGAAAATGTAACTTAGTTTCCAAATATTTGGGGATTTTCCAGATATATTTCTGTTACTGATTTCTAATTTAATTTTGTTATTGTCTGGGATAGGCTTTGTATTATTTTGATGCTTCTACATTCATTGAGACTTTTTTGTTGCCTGGAATATGTTCTATCTTAGTAAATATCTCATGTGCACTTAAAAATAATGGGTATTCTGCTATTGTTCAGTGGAATATTCTATCAATATCAATCAGATTAATTTGGTTGATAGTGTGATCAAGTCTCCTATAAACTAATTTTCTGTCTACTTTTTTGAGAGAGGAGTGTTGAAATCTCTATTATTTTGGATTTGCTTATTTCTTCCCACAGGTCTATCAAATTTTGCTACATGTATTTTGAACCTCTGTTATTAGAGGCATAATAGTTGAGTATTGTTATGTCCTTTTGACTAACTTCTTTCTCATTATGAAGTTATGTTCTTTAGTAATATTTGCTCTGAAATCAACTTTGGCAGTAATATAGTCACTTCGGCTGTTTCTTATTAGTGTTATGATGACGTATCTATTTCCATTCTTTTACTTTTAACTTATTTGTGTTTTTATATTAAGAGTGGGTTTCTTTTAGGCAAGATACAGTTGGTGTCTTGCTTTTTTAATCCAACCTGAAAATCTGCTTCTAATGGGAGTATTTAGATCCTTTGCATGCTGTGTGATTACTGACATAGTTGGGTTTAAATCTATCATCTTGCTATTTGTTTTGTCCCACCTGTTCTTTGTTTCCTTTTTCCTATATTTCTGCCTTCTTTGGGGATTGAATATGTTTATGATTTCATTTATTTTATTTTATTATTATTATACTTTAAGTTTTAGGGTACATGTGCACAATGTGCAGGTTAGTTACATATGTATTCATGTGCCATGCTGGTGTGCTGCACCCATTAACTCGTCATTTAACATTAAGCATATCTCCTAATGCTATCCCTCCCCCTCCCCCACCCCACAACAGTCCCCAGAGTGTGATGTTCCCTTTCCTGTGTCCATGTGTTCTCATTGTTCAATTCCCACCTACGAGTGAGACTATGCGGTGTTTGGTTTTTTGTTCTTGCAATAGTTTACTGAGAATGATGATTTCCAATTTCATCCATGTCCCTACAAAGGACATGAACTCATCATTTTTTATGGCTGCATATATTCCATGGTGTATATGTGCCACATTTTCTTAATCCAGTCTATCATTGTTGGACATTTGGGTTGGTTCCAAGTCTTTGCTATTGTGAATAGTGCCGCAATAAACATACGTGTGCATGTGTCTTTATAGCAGCATGATTTATAGTCCTTTGGGTATATACCCAGTAATGGGATGGCTGGGTCAAATGGTATTTCTAGTTCTAGATCCCTGAGGAATCGCCACACTGACTTCCACAATGGTTGAACTAGTTTACAGTCCCACCAACAGTGTAAAAGTGTTCCTATTTCTCCACATCCTCTCCAGCACCTGTTGTTTCCTGACTTTTTAATGATCGTCATTCTAACTGGTGTGAGATGGTATCTCATTGTGGTTTTGATTTGCATTTCTCTGATGGCCAGTGATGGGGAGCATTTTTTCATGTGTTTTTTGGCTGCATAAATGTCTTCTTTTGAGAAGTGTCTTTTCCTGTCCTTTGCCCACTTTTTGATGGGGTTGTTTGTTTTTTTCTTGTAAATTTGTTTGAGTTCATTGTAGATTCTGGATATTAGCCCTTTGTCAGATGAGTAGGTTGTGAAAATTTTCTCCCATTTTGTAGGTTGCCTGTTCACTCTGATGGTAGTTTCTTTCGCTGTGCAGAAGCTTTTGTGCAGCAGAGGTTGCTGACAAAAGTTGTTTGTGGTAAATGTTGCTGCAAGGGCATGCCTGTTTCTTTGCACATCTGAATAGGAATGGCGTAGTCTGAGCACTTAGAGGCTTATCTTTATAACAGGAAGCATATAGAGACATTGCATGGCCTGGTCCTATGGCATTTCTCTCTTTTTGAGGACCTGAGATTCAGTGTAGAAGTCCTCGATTTTAAAAGTCTGGGTGTTCTGCTTTTCAACTGTGTAAATTGTTAGGGTTTACAAATTACAAGTAATTTTTTGGCCCTGTTCCTTGATGGGCTCCACCCTGGGCTCAGTAGTCAAGTTGAAGAAACAGACTGCAGTAAAAGTTACCTATCTTAAATGAAGTTGATCTCCTTGTGAAATCCTATGGTGAATTCCTATAATTTTGCATTGTTTTGGCATCCTTTTTTGATCTTTCTCTACCACACACACACACAAATTCCTTCTTAAAGGAGCGTGGACTTTCTCTCTCTCCCCTGACCCCTTTGAGATGTGGATTGCTACCCTGTTTCCTCTGGGGTTAGGTGAGGGCTTGAGTTGTCAGGGACAAGTGGGCATTGACTTATTCAATTTGCAGGGACATAAGCTTAATCCAGATGTCTTTTAGGATGAGTGAGTTCTGCCAGTTTCATGGCTAGAGTTTTAAAATCAAGGCTGGGTATCTTTGCTTCTCTCTGTATTTTTATGTGCACATGTGAGTATGTTTTTATGTATTTACTGTGATATCAAATTGGCTTATAAACAAAGGAGTACTCATAAATGAAATAAATAAGTCCAGTTTTTTTCAAGTTTATGTGATTTTAGCAGTCTTTGATAAATATAGTTTTTAAATTGTTGTTAAAATAGAAATGTCTTCAAAATTTAATTTAGACACATTTGTCTTGGTCAGGAAGGTTTATAATCTTTCTGCTGGATGTTTTAAGATCATAAAACTCTAGCTGCCATACTACTTCTGATACTCAGTGCCTTTATTAGGTCTTATGATTGTTTAGGAAACTGAGTCTCCTCCCTATCAAAGAGTAAAGGTTTTTGCTTTTTGAAATATTTTGGTTATCACTTTGGCTAAATAAATGACTATTATATCACAGTGACCTATGATATTAAAGTAACTCTATCCTCATAAGGATTCCAGATCAGACATTTTGAATGCAAGTCACCATATGATTCAGCAGTACCATGCCATGACTGGAATAGCCTTATGATACTTTAAAGTGGAATATTTATTGATTTGAGGGGCTTGATGGAGGATGGAGAGTGAAGATGGGGAAGAACAAGTGGGATCCTATTTTTAGCAAGTAGGTTTTAAAAACACTCTTATTTTAGGTTAAGGCATACATGTGCAGGTTTTTTATATAGGTAAATTCGTGTTACGAGGGTTTGTTGTACAGATTATTTCATCACCCAGGTATTAAGCCTAGTACCCATTGGTTATCTTTTGTGCTCCTCTCCCTCCTCCCATCCTCCACCCTAAGGTAGGCCCCAATGTCTACTGTTCCCCTCTGTCCGTGTGTTCTCATCATATAGCTTCCACTTATAAGTGAGAACATGCAGTGTTTGCTTTACTGTTCCTGCATTAGTTTGCTAAGGATAATGGCCTCCAATTCCATTCACGTTGTTGCAAAGGACATGATCTCATTCTTTTTTATGGCTGCATAGTATTCCATGATGTATATGTAACACATTTTCTTTATCCAATCTTATTTCTTTCTCTTGCCTGATCTCTGGCTAGGACTTCCAGGACCATATTGAATAAGACTGGTGAAAGATGGCATCTTTGTCTTGTGTGGGTTTTTAAGGGGAATGATTTCAGCTTTGGCCCTTTTAGTATACTGTTGGCTGTGGGTTTGTCATAGATGGTTCTTATTATTTTGATGAATGTTCCTTCAATACCCAGTTTATTCACAGTTTTTGACATGAAGGAATGTTGCATTTTATCAAAAGCATTTTCTGTGTCTATTGAGATAATCATGTGGTTTTTGTCTTTAGTTCTGTTTATGCGATTAATTACATTTATTGATTTGTGTATGTAGAACCAACCTTGCTTCCCAGGGATAAAGCCTACTTGACCATGGTGGATTAGCTTTTTGATGTGCTGTTGGATTTAGCTTACCAGTATTTTGTTAAGGATTTTTGCATCAGTGTCCCTCAGAGATACTGGCCTGAAGTTTCCTTTTTTTGTAGTGTCTCTGCCAGTTTTTGGTATCAGGATGATTCTGGTCTCATAGAAAGAACTGGGGAGGAATCCCTCTTCCTTAATTTTTTTGGAATAGTTTCAGTGGGAATGGTACCAGCTCTTTATATATGTGGCAGAATTTGGTTGTGAATCCATTTTGTCCTGGGCTTTTCTTGGTTGGCAGGCTATTTGTTACTGATTTCATTTTGGAGCTCATTACTGGTCTGTTCAGGGATCCTGTTTCTTCCCGGTTCTGTCTTGGGAGGGTGTATGTGTGCAGGAATTTATTCAATTCTTCTAGATTTTCTAGTTTATGTGCCTAGAGGTGTTCATAGTAGTTTCTGATGGTTGTTTGCATTTCTGAGGATTTAGTAGTAATATCCCCTTTTTTTGTTTCTAATTGTGTTTATTTGAATCTTCTCTCTTTTCTTCATTAGTGTAGCTAGTGGTCTATCTATCTTATTAATTGTATCAAAACATCAGCTCTTGGGTTCATTAACATTTTGAATGGTTTTTCATGTCTCATTCTCCTTCAGTTCAGCACTGATTATTTCTTGTATTCTACTAGCACTGTGGTTGGTTTGCTCTTGCTTCTCTAGTTCTTTTAGTTGTGGTGTTAGGTTGTTAATTTGAGATCTTTCTATCTTTTGATATGCGCATTTAGTGCTATAAATTTCCCTTTTAACATTACCTTAGCTGTGTCCCAGAGATTCCACCATGCTATATCTTTGTTTTCATTAGTTTCAAAGAACTTCTTGATTTCTGCCTTAATTTCATTGTTTATCTAAAAGCCATTCAGGAGCAGGTTGTTTAATTTCCATGTAGTTGCATGCTTCTGAGCAATTTTCTTAGTCTTGAATTCTATTTTTATTGCTCTACAATTTAAGAGAGTGGTTGGTATAATTTCAGTTATTTTACATTTGTTGAGGATTGTTTTATGTCCAATTGATTTTAGAGTATGTGCCATGAGGTAATGAGAAGAATGTATATTCAATTGTGTTTTTGTGGAGAGTTCTGTAGATGTTTATCAGGCTCATTTGGTCCAATGTTGGGTACAGTTCCTAAATATGTTTGCTAATTTTCTCCCTCAGTGATCTGTCTAATATTGTTTGTGGGGTACTGAAGTTTCCCACTATTATTGTGTGGGAGTTGAAGTCTCTTTGAAGGTCTCTATGAACTTGCTTTATGAATCTCTGTGCTCCTGTGTTGAGTGCATATATATTTAGGATAGCTAGATTTTCTTTTTGAATTGAAGTCTTTACCATTATGTAATTCCCTTCTTTGTCTTTTTTTAATCTTTGTTAGTTTAATGTTCTTTTTTTCTGAAATTAGGGTTGCAACCCCTCCTTTTTTCTGTTTTCTATTTGCTTTTAGTAGATTTTTCTCCACTTCTTTATTTTAAGCCTATGTGTGTCATTGCATGTGAGATGACTCTCTTGATGACAGCATACCATTGGGTCTTGCATCTTTATCAAGCTTTCCATTCTGTGCCTTTTAGGTGGGGCATTTAGCCCATTTACATTCAAGGTTAATGTGGACACATGTGGATTTGATCCTGTTATTGTGTCATTAGCTGGTTGTTATGCTAACTTGTTTGTGTAGTTGCTTTATAGTGTCACTAGTCTGTGTATTTAAGTGTGTTTTCTTGTAGAGGCTGGTAATCTTTCCTTTCCACATTTAGTGCTTCATTCAGGAGCTCTTGTAAGGCAGCTCTGGTGGTAAAGAATGCCCTCAGCATTTGCTTCTCTGAAAAAGATCTTATTTCTCCTTTGTTTATGAAGCTTAGTTTGACTGGATATGAAAATCTTGGTTGGAATTTCTATTCTTTAACAATGTTGAACATAGGCCCCCAGACTCTTCTAGTTTGTAGGGTTTTGCTGAGAACTCTGTAGGTAGTCTGAAGGGCTTCCTTTTTAGGTGACCTGCCCTTTCTCTCTAGCTGCCTTTAACATTTGTTCTTTCATTTCAACCTCAGAGAATCTGATGATTATGTGTCTGAGAGATGATCTTCTTGTGAAGTATTTTTCAGGGTTCTCTGCATTTCCTTAATTTGAATATTGGCCTCTCTAGCTAGGTTGGGAGCATTGTCATAAATGATATCCTGAAATATGTTTTCCAAGTTGCTTATACTTTCCTCATCTTTCAGGAATGCCAACAAGTCATAGATTTAGCCTCTTTACATAATTCCACATGTCTTGGAGATTTTATTTGTTCCTTTTCATTCTTTTGTCTTTATTTTTGTCTGACTGCCTCCTTTCAGAAAGTCAGTCTTCAGACTCTGAGATTCTTTCCTCAATTAGGTCTATTCTGCTGTTTAAACTTGCAATTACATTCTGAAATTCTTGTAGTGGGTTTTTCAGCTCTATCAGGTCGGTTACATTCTCTTCTATAGTGGTTATTTTTTCTGTCAGCTCCTGTATCGTTTTATCATGATTCTTAGCTTCCTTAGATTTTGTTTAAACACTCTCCTAAATCTCCAAAATCTTCATTCCTATCCGTATTCTGAATTCTATTCCTGTCATTTCAGTCACCTCATGCCAGTTAAGAACCCTTGCTAGAGAACTGGTGCAATTATTTGGAGAAAATAAAACACTCTGGATTTTTGAGTTGTCAGAGTTCTTATGCTAGTTCTTTCTCATCTTTGTGGGCTCATATTCCTTAGATTTTTGAAGTTGCTTTCCTTTGGATGGTTTTTTTCTTTTATCCTATTTGATGATCTTTGGGATTTGTTTGTGGTATAAAGTGAGATCAGTCAACTGGCTTCATTTCTGGAAGATTTTAGGTGGCCAAGGCTCAGCCCAGGACTTCTGGACTGCATGCTCTAACTCTGGGAGACTGGTATCAAGCCCTAGTTTTGTTCTCTGGCTCCTCGAGGTTAGAAACCTGTTGTGCAGGAGGGGCCTAGTTCCTCCTGAACTGCTGGTAACAACACTCCAATGAGTGGTGCCAGCCAAAGCACTTTTTAGGGCAGTGGCAGCAGGATCCGTTCTATTTCACATATATTAGCAGCAGCAGCAGAACAGTGGTGTGCACACTCTTTGGCTGTGGCAGGTTCCTAGCAGTGTCAGGGTGCCAGCTTCTTTGCAGGTGCTTGCAGCAGTGGCAGTGGCATCATAGTTTGGGGATCCAGGAGGCCTCTGAAAGCCACTGTATAAGGGTTCACACTGGTGGTAGTGTTAGCACAGGAGTGGGGCACTGGGGGCCCAGGACTGTGTGTGCCCTTCATACACATTTGCACAGGTGGTGGTGGTGGTCACTCAGGGCAGGGACAGGTCTACTGTTCTCCACGCCTAGTTTTACACTGATGGCAATGTCAGAGCAGGGTCTAGGTGCCAGTGGAGACAGGGCTGGCAAGCTCTGTGTCCGACAATGATCCAATGATGATGGCAGTGCAGATCAGGGGAGGGATGGCAGGATGCAAGCACACCAGCAGCCATAGAATAGCAGAATGCATGTGCACACATGTGCTGACAGGGATGGGAAGGCAAGGTCCTCCTGTGCACAGTGGCACTGGCAAAACAACGTGAGGAATAGCTGTGGGTGAGTACATGCTGGCAAAGTGGCACATGGGAGGCTGCAGTGGAAGGAGGGTGCAGGCAGGCTGGTGCGTGTCTATAGGGGCCACTCTACTGGAGCACTCTGCCTGTCAGGCAGAGTCTGCCAGCATAGAAGTTATGATGCAGGCCCCCAGGAGGTACCTGAGGGCTGCACTGCAAGCAGACACAGCCAGGCTGGAGCCCTGGGAATGGGCAGCAGACCAAGGGGTGCTCAGGTCAGATGGGCCCTGTCTCATAGGCAAGACCATCCTGTCAGATTTCAGGTCTGACAGTTTCCCTAGGGTTAAAGTCTTGTATGGGGGCAAGTGGAGCGTTGGGGAATGGGTGTCCCTGGCCACACTCCACTACAGACGCTTCCACACCAAACCCTCTGGGCTCCACACTGGCTGGAGTTCTGCCTCTACCACTTCAGTGAACAGCTCTCCCCGCCAACTCAAATGTCTAGTGGTCAAGGGGTTTCCTCCTGCTGGGATTCGAGAGGTCTATGGTGAGAGCAGGTTGCTCTTTGCCTGTTCAACTCACTCCACTACAGGAGTCGTGGGGGGCCAGGAACAAATCCTAGTGGGGGGCCAGGAACAAATCCTAGTATGTGATAGTCCCATGCAAGGTTCTGAGCTTACTCCCCCTTCATCTCAGCACCTGTGTCTTCCCTCCATCTGCTTTCAATGCTTTCCCTCTGAAGATCTGCTAGGAGTAAGCCAGTTTTCCTGATGTTTTCATCCCTTGGTGGCAGATATTCCTCCTGGCTGCATCTAGTTGGCCATCTTGAAGCAGGCAACCTTGAGCAAATGTTTTAAAACTTTGATATTTGACAAACTTTCCAAAATTGAAATTTTCAAATTCTAACTCAGCCTTTTTGACCTCAAACTAACTTTTTGGATATTAGAGCCCCTGGAAATCACAGACACATTAGGCTTATTTGATATGTTAAAATCACATGGAAATGATTGTCAAATATGAAATGGTGTTTAATTTTCTTTGGGTTATAGTTTTAGACATGCATTATTAATATATGTTCCAAAATTTATGAGATTTCTAAAATTCTGATGTCTTAATATGTTCTAGTAATTATTATGTCAAATTGTTGTATACCACAGAAATAGCCAAATTTTCTTGTCAGTTGAGTCTTTAACCATGGCTATTCTAAGACCTTTGTCATTCACATATAATTATTGTTTTACTTTGATTCTTCTCACAAAGTGGCTTTTAATTATTTTAGTTCAAAATTTGCTTCCTTAAGAATATTCATGGAAAGGCCTCTGACAAGTACTCTTGAATACAAGTTTCAGATAACTTTGGAGATCATATCATTGGACTAGGTAAAAACTTTCAGGACTGCAGTTAAAAGCTAGTGCATTTATGAGGATTGCTAACCCAACATCAGGCAGAACAATAATTACTTACACAAAACTGAACAAATAGAGGACTGAAATAATTTTATGACTTCCTTGGTTGTAACATTGCTAATTCTTTTTGTGTTCTGTTTTCCAGAGTCAAGAAAACTTTTTTCTTTTGAGCTATTTATAGCTTACAACAAATTGAGTGAAGTATACTATTATAAGCAAAAATGTGAAGGATTTATCTTTCTCTCTACCTGATTTCTTCAGAATTTAGAAACTATTTGTGAACATTCTTAATTTATGGCAATATAATTATTTATATAAGTTTAATAATAATCTGTTTTCTTTTATAACAGGAATCAATTGGAGACTTGTTATTTTACCGAGGCTGTGAGAGAAATGGCATATTTTCAGATATGTCCAGATTACTTTGAGGAATTAAGGTTGACTTTTTAGACCCGAAAGGAAGCCTCTTGGAAAGACTGGCCTGGCACTTTTTCTATGCAGTTGCTTTACAAGGTTCCTGACCTGTGGTCAGTAAAGAATGTCACTTTATGACAGGCCCAGAAATCTCAAGTTATTTTGGGACTTTGAGAAGAAACAACTTCACACAATTCGTATGGGTATCACAGGCAATCTGATAAATCCCTGACTTGAATAGCTTTGAGAGGCCTTTCAAATCAGAGATTCCTTATGAAAAGTTCAAACAAAGCCAATCAAAAAAGCAAAACGTTATTCTTGCTGCACTTTATGCAAATAATTAGACCACATTTAACCAGACTAAAATCTACTTTGCACACAAATTAGTTTTATTATAATTTGTATCTGGTACAAAAAGGGATCCAGAGAGAGAGAGAGAGAAAGAGAGAGAGAGAGAAAGAAGGAAAGAAAGAAAGAAAGAAAGAAGAAAGAAGGAAAGAAAGAAAGAAAGAAAGAAGAAGGAAAGAAAGAAAGAAAGAAAGAAAGAAAGAAAGAAAGAAAGAAAGAAAGAAAGAAAGAAATTGTATTTCAAAAGAAACCTATAACATACCTGTCATTAGATTCTAGCCTTGAACACTGTTTTTGGTTTTTATTATTTGACAACTCATTAAAGAAGAAAAAACTCATAATTTTCTTTTTTCTTTAAAGTATTTAATTATTTATTTATTTTTATTATACTTTAAGTTCTGGGATACATGTGCAGAACGTGCAGGTTTGTTACATAGGTATCCATACGCCATGGTGGTTTGCTGCACCTATCAACCTGTTGCCTACATTAGGTATTTCTCCTAATGCTATCCCTCCCCTTGCCCCCAACCTCCTGACAGGCCCCAGTGTGTGATGTTCCCCTCCCTGTGCCCATATGTTCTCATTGTGCAACTCCCACTTATGAGTGAGAATATGTGGTGTTTGGTTTTCTATTTCTCTGTTAGTTTGCTGAGAATGATAGTTTCCACTTTCATCCATGTCCCTGAAAAGACATGAATTCATTCTTTTTTATGGCTGCATACTATTCCAAGCATATATGTGCCTCATTTTCTTTATCCAGTCTATCATTGATGGGCCCTTGGGTTTGTTCCAAGTCTTTGCTGTTGTGAATAACGCTGCAATAAACATACGTGTGCATGTGTCTTCATAGTAGAATGATTTATAATCCTTTGGGTATATACCCAGTAATGGGATCGTTGGGTTAAATGGGATTTCTAGTTCTAGATCCTTGAGGAATTGCCACACTGTCTTTCACAATGGGTGAACCAATTTACACTCCCACCAACAGTGTAAGAGCATTTCTGTTTCCCCACATCCTGTCCAGCATCTATTGTTACCTGACTTTTTAATGATCACCATTCTAACTGGCATGAGATGGTATCTAATTGTGGTTTTGATTTGCATTTCTCTAATTTTTTATGTTTGTTCGCTGCATAAATGTCTTCTTTTGAAAAATGTCTGTGCATATCTTTTGCCCACTTTTTGATGAGGTTTTTTTTTCTTGTAAATTTGTTTAACTCCCTTGTAAATTCTGGATATTAGACCTTTGTCAGATGGAGAGATTGCAAAAATTTTCTCCCATTCTGTAGGTTGCATGTTCACACTGACAATAGTTTTTTTTTTTTTTTTTTTTTTTTTTTTTGCTGTGCAGAAGCTTTTTAGTTTACTTAGATCTCATTTGTCAATTTTGGCTTTTGTTGCAATTGCTTTTGGTGTTTTAGACATGAAGTCTTTTCCCATGCCTATGTCCTGAATGGTATTGCTTAGGTTATCTTCTAGGATTTTTATGGTTTTAGGTCTTACATTTAAATCTTTACTCCATCTTGAGTCAATTTTTGTATAAGGTATAAGGAAGGGGTCCAGTTTCTGTTTTCTGCATATGGCTAACCAGTTTTCCCAACACCGTTTATTAAATAGAGAATCCTTTCCCCATTGCTTGTTTTTGTCAGGTTTGTTGAAGATCAGATGGTTGTAGATGTGCAGTGTCATTTCTGAGGCCTCTGTTCTGTTCCATTGGTCTATATATCTGTGTTGGTACCAGTACCATGCTGTTTTGGTTACTGTAGCCCTGTAGTATAGTTTGAAGTCAGGTAGCATGATGCCTTAAGCTTTGTTCTTTTCGCTTAGGATTGCTTTGTCTATAAGGGCTCTTTTTTGGTTCCATATGAAATTTAAAGTAGTTTTTTTCTAATTCTGTGAAGAAAGTCAATGGTAGCTTCATGGGAATAGCATTGAATCTATAAATTACTTTGGGCAGTATGGCCACTTATAAGACATTGATTCTTCCTATCCATGAGCATGGAATGTTTTTCCATTTGTTTGTGTGCTCTCTTATTTCCTCCAGCAATGGTTTGTAGTTCTCCTTGAAAAGGTCCTTCACATCTCTGTAAGTTGTATTCCTAGGTATTTTATTCTCTTTGTAGTAATTGTGAATGGGAGTTTGCTCATGATTTGGCTGTCTATTATTGGTGTATAGGAATACTTGTAATTTTTGCACATTGATTTTCTATCCTGAGACATTGCTGAAGTTGCTTATCATCTTAAAAAGTTTTGGGGCTGAGATGATAGGGTTTTCTAAATAAACAATCATGTCATCTGCAAACAGAGATAATTTGACTTCCTCTCTTCCTATTTGAATATCCTTTATATCCTTCTCTTACCTGATTGCCCTGACCAGAACTTCCAATACTATGTCGAATGGGAGTTGTGAGAGAGGGCATCCTTGTCTTGTGCACCTTTTCGAAGGGAATGCTTCCATCTTTTGCCCATTCAGTATGATTTTGGATGTGCGTTTGTCATAAATAGCTCCCATTATTTTGAGATATGTTCCATCAATATCTAGTTTATTGAGAGTTTTTAGCATAAAGTGTGTTGAATTTTGTCGAA
Source organism: Homo sapiens (assembly GCF_000001405.40). Classification (NCBI taxonomy): domain Eukaryota; kingdom Metazoa; phylum Chordata; class Mammalia; order Primates; family Hominidae; genus Homo; species Homo sapiens. The sequence continues at coordinate 150,546,579 of NC_000007.14, read as the reverse complement.
GGCTTTTTCTGCATCTATTGAGATAATCACGTGGTTTTTGTCATTGGTTTTGTTTATGTGATGGATTACATTTATTGCTTTGCATATGTTGAACCAGCCTTGCATCCCAGGGATAAAGCTGATGTGATCGTGGTGGATAAGCTTTTTAATGTGCTGCTAAATTTGATATGCCAGTATTTTATTGAGGATTTTTGCATCGATGTTCATCAATGATATTGGCCTGAAATTTTCTTTTTTTGTTGTGTCTCTGTCAGGTTTTAGTATCAGGATGATGCTGGCCTCATAAAATGAGTTAGGGAGGAATCCCTCTTCTTCTATTGTTTGGAATAGTTTGAGAAGGAATGACACCAGCTCATCTTTGTACCTCTGGTAGAATTTGGCCCTGAATCCATCTGGTCCTGGGCTTTTCTTGATTTGTAGGCTATTAATTACTGCCTCAACTTCAGAACTTGTTATTGGTTTATTCAGGGATTTGACTTCTTCCTGGTTTTGTCTTGGGAGTGTGTAAGTGTCCATGAATTTATCCATTTCTTCTAGATTTTCTAGTTTATTTGCATAGAGGTGTTTATAGTATTCTCTGATGATAGTTTGTATTTCTGTGGGATCAGTGGTGATATCCTTTTTATCATTTTTTATTTTCTCTGTTTGATTCTTCCCTCTTTTCTTCTTTATTAGTCCAGCTAGCAGTCGATGTATTTTGTTAATCTTTTCAAGAAACCAGCTCCTGAATTCATTGATTTTTTGAAGAGTTTTTCGTGTCTCTACCTCCTTCAGTTCTACTCTGCTTTTAGTTATTTCTCATCTTCTGCTAGCTTTTGAATTTGTTTGCTCTTCCTCCTCTAGTTCTTTTAATTGTGTCAATTTTAGATCTTCCCCACTTTCTCCTGTGGGATTTAGTGCTATAAATTTCCCCCTAAGCACTGCTTTAGCTGTGTCCCAGAGATTCTAGTACATTGTGTCTTTGTTCTCATTGGTTTCAAAGAACTTATTTATTTCTGCCTTCATTTCGTTATTTACCCCATAGTCATTCAGGAGTAGGTTGTTCAGTTTCCAGGTAGTTGTGCAGTTTTGAGTGAGTTTCTTAATCCAGAGTTCTAATTTGATGGCACTGTGGTCTGAGAGACTGTTTGTTATTATTTCCATTCTTTTGCCTTTGCTGAGAAGTGTTTTACTTCCAATTATGTGGTTGATTTTAGAATAAGTGCTATGTGGTGCTGAGAAGAATGTATATTCTGTTGATTTGAGGTGGAGAGTTCTGTGGATGTCTATTAGGTCCACTTAGTCCAGTACTGAGTTCACGTCCTGAGTATTCTTTTTCATTTTCTGTCTCATTGATCTATCTAATATTGACAGTGGGGTGTTAAAGAATCCCATTATTATTATGTGGGTGTCTAAGTCTCTTTGTATGTTTCTAAGAACTTGCTTTAAGAATCTGGATGCTCCTGTATTGGGTGCATATCAATGTAAGATACTTAGCTTTTCTTCTTGCATTGATCCCTTTATCATTATGTAATGCCCTTCTTTGTCTTTTTTGATCTTTGTTGGTTTAAAGTCTGTTTTATCAGAGACTAGTATTGCAACCCCTGCTTTTTGTTTTGTTTTGTTTTGTTTTTTGCTTTTCATTTGCTTGGTAGATCTTCCTCAATCCCTTTATTTTGAGCCTATGTGTGTCTTTGCATGTGAGATGGGTCTCCTGAATACAACACACCAATGGATCTTGACTCTTTATCCAATTTTCCTGTCTGTGTCTTTTAATTGGGGGATTAGCCTGTTTACATTTAAGGTTAACATTGTTATGTGTGAATTTGATCCTGTCATCATGATGCTAGCTGGTTATTTTCCCCATTAGTTGATGCAGTTTCTTCATAGTGTTAATGGTCTTTACAGTTTGATATGTCTTTGCAGTGGCTGGTACTGGTTTTTCCTTTCCATATTTAGTACTTCCTTCAGGAGCTCTTGTAAGACAGGCCTGGGCATGACAAAATCCCTCACCATTTGCTTTTCTCTAGTGGATTTTATTTCTCATTCACTTATGAAGGTTAGTTTGGCTGGATATAAAATTCTGGGTTGAAAATTCTTTCCTTTAAGAATGTTGAATATTGGCCCCCACTCTCTTCTGGTTTGTAGGGTTTCTGCAGAGAGATCAGCTGTTTGTCTGATGGGCTTCTCTTTCTGGGTAACCTGAGCTTTCTCTCTCACTGCCCTTAACATTTTTTGCTCTGTTTAAAACTTGGAGAATCTGATGATTATGTGTCTTGGGGTTGCTCTTCTTGAGGAGTGTCTTTGTGGTGTTCTCTGTAGCTCCTGAATTTGAATGTTGGCCTGCCTTGCTAGGTTGGGGAAATTCTCCTGGATAATATCCTGAAGAGTGTTTTCCAGCTTGGTTCCATTCTCCCCATCACTTTCAGGTACACCAATCAAACATAGGTTTGGTCTTGTCACATAGTCGCATATTTTTTGGAGGCTTTGTTCCTTCCTTTTCGTTCTTTTTTCTCTACTCTTGTCTTCATGCTTTATTTCATTAAGTTCATCTTCAGTCTCTGATATCCTCTCTTCCATTTGATCGATTCAGCTACTGATACTTGTGTATGCTTCACGAGGTTCTTGCGCTGTGTTTTTCAGCTTCATCAAATCATTTATGTTCTTCTCTAAACTGGTTGTTCTAGTTAGCAATTCCTGTAACCTTTTATCAAGGTCCTTAGCTTCCTTGCATTGGGTTAGAACATGCTCCTTTAGCTTGATGGAGTTTGTTATTGCCCACATTCTGAAGCCTACTTCTGTCAATTTGTCAAATTCATTCTCAGTCTTGGTTTGTTCCCTTGCTGGTGAGGAGTTGTGCTCCTTTGGAGGAGAAAAGGCATTCTGGTTTTTGGAGTTTTCAGCTTTTTTGCACTAGTTTTTCCTCATCTTGGTGGATTTATCTACCTTTGGTCTTTGCTGTTGGTAACCTTTGGATGGGGTTTTTGCATGGTTGTTTTCTTGTTGTTGATGTTGATGCTATTGCTTACTGTTTGTTAGTTTTCCTTCTAACAGTGAGGCTCCTCTGCTGCAGGTCTGCAGGAGTTTGTTGGAGGTCCACTCCAGACCCTGTTTGCCTGAGTATTACCACTGAGGGTTGCAGAACAGCAAAGATTGCTGCCTGCTCCTTCCTCTGGAAGCTTCATCCCAGAGGGGCACCCAACAGATGCCAGCCAGAGCCCTCCTGTATGAGGTGTCTGTCAACCCCTGATGAGAGATGTCTCCCCATCAGGAGGCACGGGGTTCAGGGACCCACTTGAGAAGGTAGTCTGTCCCTTAGCAGAGCTCGAGCACTGTGCTGGGAGATCTGCTGCTCTCTTTAGAGCTGGCAGGCAGGAATATTTAAGTCTGCTGAAGCTGTACACACAGCCACCCCTCCCCGCAAGTGCTCTGTCCCAGGGAGATGGGAGATTTATCTATAAGCCCCTGACTGGGGCTGCTGCTTTTCTTTCAGAGATGCTCTGCCTAGAGAAGACGAATCTAGAGAGGCAGTCTGGCTACAGCAGCTTTGAGGCACTGCAGTGGGCTCTGCCCAGTCCAAACTTCCCAGTGGCTTTGTTCATATTGTGAGGGGAAAACTGCCCTCTCAAGCCTCAGTAATGGTGGACCCATAATTTTCTTCATGATGTTTTTATTTTGCTTCCTAATTCAATAAGATTTTTTTTCATTCTGTCAGAGACATTTTCTTTTGATTGTACTACTCAAAATTAACAATGTTATTCATCTCTCATTGTTTACTTTTTCTAAGAAAACCAGAATAATGGTATCCTGAAAACTAGAAATAACTCAACAAAGCCTGCAAATCTCCTTCCTCTAAAATCCCATTGGGGCAAAGCACTGTTCTGTTAGCAATATACCCTTCCTCTAGGCCCAGGGACTACCAGGGAAGAGGTGGATGCATGAGATTGTAAGGGCCAGTTTTAAGGGGTTCAGATCCCCAAAATCAAGGGCAGGCACACACACATGCTTATACAGGGGGTAAATTGATGGACTTTGTCTCCTGAGCCATTATATGCCCCCTTTCCATCTTTCTCAATCATGAAAAAAAATTTCTACTTTAATATAAGAGCCCAAACCCAAAGGCTTGGCCACATTCTGGGACCCATGTGTATTTACAATTAAATGTAAAACAGTTTTATTCCTCAAACCTAGACCAATTCCCCTTGTCAGCAAACAGTAGCTAGAATTGCCATTGCCCCATATCCCTCAAGATTGAGGAATGCACAACAGAAAGGGAGTTGATATAGTTTGAATATGTGTTGCTGCCAAATTTCATGTTGAATTGTGATCCCCAGTGTTGGAGGTGGGGTCTTGGGGGAGGTGTTTGGGTCATAAGGGCAGACTCTCATGTCATAGTGCATTCTTTTGAGATCCAGTTGTTTAAATGTGTGGAACCTTCCCTACCCATTCTCTCTCTCTTGTTCCTGCTCTGCCATGTGATGTGTCTGTTCCTGCTTCTATACACAGAGACTTTTGCTCCAATTCTCTATGTTTTTAAATTTAAGAATGAAGAAGAGCTCTTTGTGTGAAATAATGAAGTAAAACAGGGTATTTCAAGTAGCATCTTTACCAAAGATTTGGGCAGAATCTTCCACTGGCTTGGACCTAAAAGATCTAACTGTGGCATTGTAAATGTCAATATTCCAATGAGCGGAGCTGAGATTGCAGGTGCATTTGGAGGAGAAAAGCACATTTGTGGTGGCAGGGCATCTGGTGATGACTCCTGGAAATAGTGCATGAGAAGGTTTACTTGTATCATCAACTATGGTAAGGATCTTCCTCTGGTGAAAGGAATCAAGTTTCAGTAAAGTTTTATGGACGAACATTGCTTAATTTTAGGTGTTCCTGCAGCTGTTTCTGAAGAAGAAAAAAAAAATTAAAATTTTCCCTGAATAAATGCATCATTATGACTATGACAGTGACTAATGTCTTATGACCCCAAAGCCCTGATTAAATCAACAGACTCATTTTTTAAAAAATCAAAACAAAATTGTCACATTAAAAAATGGTATTGATGAATAGAGCCCTGCTATAAAAATACTTGAAAATGTGGAAGCAGCTTTGGAACTGGGTAACAGGCAGAGGTTGGAAGAGTTTGTGGAGGCCTCCATGTGGTATTAAGCCCACAGGCATACAGAATGCAAGAGTGAAGGAAGCTTGGCAGCCTCCACCAAGATTTCAGAGGATGTATGAGAAAGCCTGGGTGCCCAGAAAGAAGCCTGTTGCAGGGGCAGAGCCCTCACAGAGAACCTTTAATAGCAGGGTTTGGAGGGGAAATGAGTTAGAAGCCCCACACAGAATCCCTACTGGGGCACTGCCTAGTGGAGTTAAAGCTCCCTGAGGCCTCCCTAGAAGCTGAGCTGATGCCAGCACTATGCTTGTACAGCCTGCAGAACCATGATCTGATTAAACCTATTTTCTTTACAAATTACCCAGTCTCAGGTAATTCTTTATCACAATGTAAGAACTGCCTAATATAGAAAATTGGTACTGAGGAATGGGGCATTGCTATAAAGATACCTGAAAATGTGGAAGCAGCTTTGGAACTGGGTAGCAGAGGTTAGAAGACTTTGTAGAGATCAGAAGAAGATGGGAAAATGAGGGAAAGTTTGAAACTTCTTAGGGACTGGTTAAATTGTTTTGAGCAAAACAATGATAGTGATATGGACAATTAAGTCCAGGTTGCCAAGGTATCAGATGGAAATGAGAAACATACTGGGAACTGGAGCAAAAGTCACCCTTGTTATGCCTTAGCAAAGAACTTGGCTGCATTGTGTTTATGCCATGAGAGTTGGTGGAAGTTTCAACTAAAGAGTGATTTAGGATATCTGGCAGAAGAAATTTCTAAGCAGCAAAGCATTCATGATGTTACCCAGCTGCTTCTAACAGCTTACCATCAGATGCAGGAGCAAATAAATGACTTAAAGTTGGAATATTTAAATAGGAAGTAGAGCACAAGAGTTTGGAAAATTTGCAGACTGGCCAAGTGGCAGAGAAATAAAACTTTTTTGGGAAAGGAATTCAAGCAGGCTTTGGAGAAACCGTTTGCTAGAGATATTTGCATAACTAAAAAGGAACCAGGTACTAATAGCTAACATAATGGGAAAAGGGCCTTAAAGACATTTCAGAGATTTTTGAGGCAGCCCTTCCCATCGCAGGCCTAGAGGCCCAGGAGAGAACAATTCCATGGGCCTGTTCTGGGGACCCACTGCCATGCACAGCCTTGGGACACTGTTCCTCCTGGCTACTCCAACTCCAGCTGCGGCTCAAAGGAGCCCAGGTACAGCTCAAGCTACTACTTTGGAGGGTGTGAGCCATAAGTCTTGTGGCTTCCACGAGGTGTTAAGCCTACAGGCACACAGAATGCAAGACTGAAAGAGGTTTGGCATCTTCTACCAAGATTTTAGAAGATGTATGAGAAAGCCTGAGTGGCTGCTGCAGGGGCAGAGCCCTCATGGAGAAACTCTAATAGGGCAGTGGGGATTAGAGGGCCCACACAGATTCCTTACTGGCTAGTGGAGCTGTGAGAAGGAAACCACTGTTCTCCATGCCCAAGAATGGTAGATCCACCAACAACTTGCAACCTCAGTGTGGGAAAGACATCGGTGGAGCTGGTCAAGGCTTTAGGAGCCCACCCCTTACATCAGTGTGCCCTAGATATGGGACATGGAGTCAAAGGAGATTATTTTGGCACTTTAAAATTTAATTACTTCAGGGTTGAGCATGGTGGTTCATGCGTGTAATCCCAGCATTTGGGAGGCCGAGGTAGGAGGATTGCTTGAGGCCAGGAGTTTGAGACCAACCTGGGCAACAAAATGAGATCCCCATCTTGAAAAAAACAAACAGATTTAATGACTTCCCATACAAGTCTGGGTTCCAAACTTGTATGAGGCCTGTAGTCTCTTTCTTGTGGCTGATTTCTTTGTTTTGAAGTGGTTTACCCAATGCCTATACCCCATTGTATCTTGGAAGTAAATAACTTGTTTTGATTTTACAAGCTCATAGGTGGAAGGTACTCATTACCAGATGAGACTTTGGACTTTGGACTTGGAACTTTTCCTTGAGTTGATGCTGAAATTAGTTAAGATTTGTGTGTGGGGCAGGGGGCTGTTGGGAAGGCATGATTTTATTTTACAATGTGAGAAGGATATGAAATTTGGAAGGCCAGGGGTGGAATGATATAGTTTAAATATATGTCCCTCCCAAATCTCATGTTGAATTATAATCCCCAATGTTGGAAGTGGGGTCTGGTGAGAAGTGTTTGGGTCATGGGAGTGAATCCCTTGTGGCTTGGTTCTGTCCTTGCAGTAGTGAGTGAGCTTTCTTGAGATACGGTTGTTTAAGTGTGTTGTACCTCCCCCAACTTCCCCACTCTCTCTCTTGCTACTGCTCTGGCCATGTGATGTGTCTGCTCCCACTTCACCTTCTGCCATGAATGAAAGCTCCCTTTTTTCATCTCTCTAGTAACTGAGCTGATGCCAGAGCTATGCTTGAGCAGCCTTCAAAACTGTGCCAGTTAAACCTCTTTTCTTTATAAATTATCCAGTCTCAGGTATTTCTTTATAGCAATGCAAGAATGACATAATACAGGGGGCTTATAACCGTGGGACCAGCTCAAACCAATTAACCACTGCTTAAGTTGTTACAGATGTTGCAGAGGCAAAATTGCAAGTCATTGACCCCAGCCATGAACAATGTTAACCTCCTGATTTTTAACACAACCAATCTGGCAGACCAGCTGCAGTGGCATCACCTAGGCCTAGTTAGAAATGCCATAAAAGCTTGGCCCAACTCCAAATTGAAGAGACACATTTCAGCATTTCCTCCTGTCTCCTTGCCAGTAAACTCAAAATGAAACTTTTATTCTCAAAAGCCAGTGCCATAGTGTTGGCTTCTATGCACATTGATTGGCAAGCCCATTGCTCAATAACAGTTTATATATTCTCATGATATTTGTTAGCATCCTTTAATTTCAACCTAAAATACTCCCTTTTGCATGCATGGTAAGGCAGATGATGATGAATTCCTTCAGCTTTTATTTGTCTGGGAAAACCTTTTATCTCTCCTCCATTGGTAAAGAACATCTTTGCTGGGTATAAGATTCTTGGTTGGCAATTTTTTCCTTTTAGCACTTTGAATATATCATTTCACTCTCTCAGCCTGTAAAGTTTCTGGTGAGATCTGCTAACAGTCTTATGAAGATTCCTTGGCCAGGTGCGGTGGCTCACGCCTGTCATCCCAGCACTTTGGGAGGCCAAGGCAGGCAGAACACCTGAAGTCAGGAGTTTGAGAACAGCCTGGACAACATGGTGAAACCCCATCTCTATTAAAAATTTAAAAATTAACCAAGCATTGTGGTGGGCACCTGTAATCCCAGCTACTTGGAAGGCTGAGGCAGGAAAATCACTTGAACCGAGGAGGAGTTTGCAGTGAGCCAAGATTGTGCCACTGCACTCCAGCCTGGATGACAGAGCAACTCTGTCTCAAAGAAAAAAAAAAGATTTCTTCCTGTTAAGCTGTATTTATCTTACTGATTTGAAAATTATATTTGTTACTGACTTTTGAGAACTGAGTATAATGCATCTCAGTGAAGATCCCTTTACATTTAATCTACTTAGTTTATAGGGGCTAGATCAGCACCAGGGTCCACTGGAGCCTGGGCTTGTGGGCAGAAGCCTGAAGGCAGGGGCCACGGTTATAACTTAGATCCTGGGGCTATGATGTCTAGAGTCCTTTAGGCTTTATAGACCTAGATGTTCATTTCCCTCTCCAGATTTGGGGAATTTTATATTATTTCTTTAAATAAATGTTCTGCTTTTTTATCTTTCTCTGCTTCTGAAATTTCCATAATGTGTGTTGGTTCACTTGATGATGTCCCATAAGTCTGTAGGATTTCTTCGTGCTTTTTCATTCTTCTTTTTGTTCCTCGTACTGGGTAATTTCAAACGATGTGCCTTTGAACTCACTAGTTCTTATAATTCAAATCTGCTATTGAAGCTCTCTGAAATTTTCAGTTCAGTTATTGTGTTCTTCAGCTTCTGAATTTCGTTCATTTTAATGGTTTCTATTTGTTGAACAACTCTTTGTTTATGTATTCTGATTATTGTTCAGTTTGTGTTTTCTTGTGGCTCACTAAACTTTTTTCAGATAATTATTTTGAACTCTTAGGCAGTTCATAGATCTGCATTTCTGTAAGGTCTGTTAATGGTGTTTTAGTTTGTTCTTTTGGTGTCATGTTTTTCTGATTATCTGTAATCCTTGGGGCTTTAAATTGGTGTTTGCATATTTAAAGAAGTAGGCAGCTTTTTCGGTCTTTACAAACTGGATTCAGCAGGGAAAGCCCTCCACCAGTCAGCCCTAAGATTCTAGGTAAGCCAGCTAATGGGGTTTATCAGTGGGCTTGTGATATAGTTTAGATGTTTGTCCCCTCCAAATCCCATGTTGACATTTGATTCCCAGTGTTGGAAGTGGGGCCTGGTGGGAGGTCATTGGATCATGGGGGCAGTTCCCTCATGAAGGGTTTAGAACCATCTCCTTGGTAATAATGAGTTCTTGCTCTGAGTTCATGTGAGAACTGGTTGTTTAAAAGTGCGTGGCCTCTACCTCCCGCTCTTACTCCCATTCTTATCATGTGACCTGCCTATTCCCACTTCACCTTCCTCCATAATTGTAAGGTTCCTGAGACCCTCACCAGAAGCAGATGCTGTAGCCATGTTGGTACAGCCTACAGGTTGATGAGGCAATTATAACTCTTTTCTTTACAAATTACTGAGCCACAGGTATTTCTTTATAGCAGTGCAAGAATGGCCTAACACAGCTTGGTATTGGAGTCCTTGAACATGCTACCCTGGTCCCTCAGCAAGTAGGTGGGCAGGCCTGGTGCTTGGATCTACAATGACCAGCTTGGAGCCTGGATCCACTAGGGTGGCACTGGAGCTTAGGTCCCTGTGGGCAGGCCTGTCACTAAGAAGGGCCTCACATCTGGAACCATGGAGATGGGCCTGGTTCTGAGTCTGTGGGCCCAGAGTCTACAGGGGCCATCCTGGTGCTATGGTGAGACTAGAAATTGGGTCTTTGGGTTTATGCCTGAATCTCAGGTCTATAGTGGCTAGCTTGGCACCAGAGTTCACTGGGTTCTGGGCTTGTGGACAGAAGCCTGAAGGCAGGGGCCACGGGTACATTCTAGATCCTGGGGCTGTGATGTCTGGTCTGAAGGTTTAGTCTTCAGAGCAGGCCTGCATCCTGGAGCCATGGGGCCAGCCTGGTGCTGGGATGAACCTGAACTTGGGTCCATGTGGGTCAGCCCAAAGCCTGGGTCAATGGGAGCCAGCTTGGCCCTGGAGCAGGCCTTAAAGTTCATCTTCAGATCCAACATGAACCCTCATCCCATGAGTGCTAGTCTACAGAATGAGACTGCAGAGGCTGACCTGAAGCCTGAGGCTGTGGGACAAGCCTGAAGCCTGGCGCTTTGTGGGGCTGGCCTGGTGCTGGAACAGACCTGGAGCCTGAGGTTATGAGGGCAGACCTATTGCTGGAGTTGGCCTAGGACCTGTGTCTGCAAGGTGGCCCTGGAGCCTGGGGCTGCAAAGGGCCACCTGACAATGGGAAAGGCCTGGAGTTTGGGGCCATAGAAACACCTTTAGTTATACTAACTAAGAAAAAAGAAAAAAGACTCAAATATATAATATTATTAATAAAAGCAGAAACATTACAACTGATACTGCAGGTATACACTGCAGGACCACAAGAAATTATTATAAATAATTATAGACCAATAAATTTGATAGCCTAGAGAAAGTTAGTAAATTCATAGGCATATACAACCTATCAAGACTGAATCACCAAGAAATAGAAAATCTTAATAGATCAATGACAAGTAAGGAGATTAAATCCGTAATTGCAACACTCCTAACAAAAGCTCTAGACATGAAGGCTCCACTGGTGAATTTTAACAAACACTTATAGCAAAATGAATGTAATGCCAATTCCACTCAAACTTTTCTGAAAAATTGAAGGAAAAGGAACACTTTCAAACTCATTTTATGAGGCCACGATTACCCTAATACCAAAACCAGAGGACACTACAAGCAAAGAAAATTACAGGCCAATATCTCTGATGAACATAGATGTTAAACTCTTTAATAAAATACAAGCATACTGATTTCAACAGCACATTAAAAACATTATACACTTTGAGTAAGTGGGATTTATCCCTAGAATGCAAAAACGGCTCAACATATGCAAATAAATAAATGTGACACACTACACTAACAAAATAAAGGATAAAAATCATATGATCACCTCAATAGACGCAAAGAAAGCACTGGACAAAATTCAGTATCCTTTCATGACAAAAATGCTCAACAAGTTAAGTACAGAAAGAATGTACCTTTATGGTGGCCAAGATGGCCAACTAGAAGCAATTAATATGCATGGCTCTCACGGAGAGGAACAAAAAGAGCAAGTAAATACATCATCTCAACGTGGAACATCAGGTACTTGCATTGCCTCTAATCAAGGAAATAACTTGACCCTGGAGAATGAAGAAAAGCAAGACAGCATGACGGCCCACACAGGAGCAACACAGAGGCAGGGGAATCTCCCCCACCCAGGGAAGCAGTTAGTGCATGTGCGACCCCAGGAACCCACACTTCTCCCACAAATTTTTGCAACCCATGGGCCAGGAGATCTTCTTGTGAACCCATTCCACTGGGGTCTTTGGTGGACAAACAGAGCTATGGAGTCTCAGCGGAGCAGCTGCTCAGGCATGCATGGAGTCCTGGGAAGCTTAGATACTCAGGCTTTCCGGCAAAAGTAGCTGCAACTCCAGCAAAGTGCGAGGTTAGATCCCTGTACATACCCCTAGGTAAGAGGCTGAATCCAAGGGACTGAGCAGTGACAGCCTGCAGGCCCCACTTCCATGGCACCTCACAGGATAAGACCCATTAGCTTGGAGTTCCAGCCAGCCACTGGTAGCAGCATTGCACTTCCCTGTGATGGAGCTCCCAGGAGAAGGGGCAGGCTGCCATCTTTCATCTTTGCTGTTTGAGCTACTTAGCCCCCAACCAAGTCTTCAGAATTTGGAGAGTCTTAGCTGACCACAGGCAGAAGGGACCCACCCAGAACAGCACAGCTGCTCTAACAAAATGTGGCTAAACTGCTTCTTTAAGTGGGTGCCCAATCCCATTCCTCTTCCCTGAGTAGGATCTCCCAACCAGGGCCTCTAGCCACCCCCATTAGTGTTCTCCAGCCAACAGAGATTTTAATTCTCTGGGATGAAGCTCTCAGCATGAAGGGTGGACCACCATCCTTGCTGTCTGGGCAACTTAGCTATTCCAGCGTTCAGGCTTTGAAGTGTCCAAGGCAACCAGGAGCTGAAGTGGATCCCCAGCACAGCTTAGCTGCTCTATGAAATCATGGCCAGACTGCTTTTTAAAGTGGGTCCCCAATCACATTTCTCCTTACTGGGTGGGACCTTTCTATCGGGGTCTCCAGCCACCTCCTACAGGTGTGTTCAGGCTAGCAACAGGCTTGAACAAGCTAGCAACAGGCTAGCAACAGGATGAAGCTCCCAGAGGGAAGGGCAGTTTGCCATCTTTGCTATTTGACAGGCTTCTCTGGTGTTACCTCCAGGTAAAATCCGAGGTAACTAGGGACTGGAGTGGGCCCCTAGCATACCGCAGAAGCCCTATGGAAAATTGGCCAGACTGTTATGTGGGTGGCCATTCCCATATCTCCTTACCAGACAGGTCCTCCAGGCTTGGCCTCCAGACACCCACCACCAGAGCTATCAAGCCAATAGCAACTCAGCAACTCCCTGGACAGAGCCTTCCAGGGCAACTGAAAATCTCTCTGCCACTGCCTCTGCAGTGGAACTGCCTTTGCCACCCGTGGACTAACATAGGAGCAAAGACCCTAAGTGCCTTATACACACCTCCAACAAGCTACATTTCATCCAAGAAGAGGAAGCCAGTCCAATTTCCATGGGTCCCCCACACCCCCATTGCTCATCACCAGACAGGGAATCCCTGGCTTGGGCCCTCCAGCACAGACCCTCCATCTTGGGCTAATTGCACTGAGCAACTGCTGACCTGCATCTTTCTGGGGTGGGGCCCCTGGGAGACAAGCAAAAGACCATTGTCCACAACCACTACTAAAGTTCTTCCTTTACTGACTCCAATTTGAGGAAGGAATGTAAACACTGAGATCACCCCAGAGCTGCAGTGGGCAGCCCAGGAGCACCAAACCATGATCTACAGCCAGCAGTCAAGAGAGAGAGAAACCAACACTTTCAGAGCATTGAGAGGGAACATGGCTGCAACTATGAGGAAACATAGGGGAGCCACACAACCAAGCAAGAGTCTACGAACTGACCAACAAACATAAGTGCCACCTGCTGGATCACACCCCAAAGCTTCAACACCAAAAATACCTCACTAACATACCCTCCTCTGAAACCAGAGACAAGAAGTCAGCTTCAAATAGAGACCCTGCACAAAGACTTGGCCCTGTGAAAACATCCATAAAAAGAAGTTTATTGATTGTATTCAATCTACACTGCAGTTAAAGGAACACCGACATGCAGAGATGAGAAAGAACCAACGCAAGAACTCCAGTAACTCAAGTGGCCAGATTGTCATATGTCCTCCAAATGGCACACCAGTTCTCCAACAAGGGTTCTTAACCAGGCTGAAATGGCTGGAATGACAGAAATAGAAGACAAAATATGGATAGAAACAAAAATCTTTGAGATTCAGAAGGATGGCAAAACCCAATCCAAGGAAAATAAGAATCACAATAAAGCAATACAGGAGCTGAAGGACAAAATAACCAGTATAAAAAAGAACCTAATGCATCTGACAGAGCTGAATAACATAATACAATAATATCATAAATATTAAAAGCAGAAGAAATCAAGCTGAGGAAAGAATCTCAGAACTTGAATACTGGTTCTCTGAAATAAGACAAAAAATAAAGAAAAAAGGCTAAAAATGAATGAATAAAGTGTCTGAGAATTATGAGATTATGTAAAGAGGGCAAATCCGATTGGCATTGCTTGAAAGGGAAGGGGAGAAAGCAAACAACTTGGAAAATATATTTCAGGATACTGTTTATGAAAACTTCCCCAACCTTGCTAGAGAGTCCAACAGTCAAATTCAGGAAATACAGAGAACTCCTGCAAGAATCTACATAAGAGGATCATCCCCAATACACATAACTGTCAGATTTTCCAAGGTTGAAATGAAAGAATGTTAAAGGCAGCTAGAGAGAAAGGGAAGCCACCTACAAAGGGAAACCCTTCAGGCTAACAGTGGGTCTCTCAGCTGAAACCCTCCAAGCCAGAAGAGATTTGGTGCCAATATTCAACACCCTTAAAGACAAAATCTTCAACCAAGAATTGCATATCCAGCCAAACTAAGCTTCCTAAGTGAAGGAGAAATAAGATCCTTTTCAGATAAGCAAATGTTGAGGGATCTCATTACCACCATTCCTGCCTTACAAGAGATCTTGAGATGAGCACTAAATATAGAAAAGAAAGACTGCTACCAGGTAATACAAAAACACACTTAAACACACAGACCACTATAAAGCAACCATAAAAACAAGCGAACATAATAACCAGCTAACAGCACAATGACAGGATTAAATACACATATATCAATACTAACCTTAATGTAAATGGACTAAATGCCCCCACTTAAAAGGCATAGAGTGACAAGCTGGATAAAGAAGCAAGACCCAATGATATGCTGATTCAAGAGACCCATCTCACATGTAATGACACTCATAGGCTCAAAATAAAGGGATAGAGGGAAATCTACCAAGCAAATTGAAAAGAGAAAAAAGCAGGAGCTGCAATCCTATTTTCAGGCAAAACAGATTTCTTTTTTTTTAGTGAGAAGAAAATGTTATTGACCTCAATTTAGAAGAAAAGAAGATGAAAAATAAGGAAAAAATATGGAATCTTTTATACCTGAGTTTTTATTAAGTAATGTTAAGCCTGGTCTACCTAAGAAAAAATATTTTGTAGAATTGCATATGTAAATAATCTCATTTAAATTATAATAACTAAATTTTTATTTGAGTCCAGGTTTGTTTTTTTTATTTTGCCTCTCTAGCATCAATTAGTTTAGCAAGGTACAAACTAACCAAATATGTATTTTTTTTTTTTTTTGCTTTAAGACAAAACAGATTTCAAACCAACAAAGATCAAAAAACACAAAGAAGGGAATTACATAAAGGTAAAGGGTTCAATTCAATAAGAATACCTAACTATCTGAAATATATATGCACCCAGCACAGGAGGACCCAGATTCATAAAGAAAATTCTTAGAGACCTACAAAGAGATATAGACTCTCACACAATAATAGTAGGAGAATTCAACACTCCACTAACAGTATTAGACAGATCATCAAGGCAGAAAATTAACAAAGATATTCAGGACCTCAACTCAACATTGGACCAAATGGATCTAATAGACATTTACAGAAGTCTCCACCCAAAGACGACAGAATATATATACACTCTTCTCATCACCACATGGCGCATACTCTAAAATGAACCACGTAATTGGACATAAAACAATCAACAAATGCAAAGGAGCTTAAATCATACCAAACACACTCATGGACCACAGCACAATAGGAATAGATGTCAAGACCAAGAAAATTGCTTAAATCCATGCAGTTAAACAACATGCTCTTGGATGACTTTTGGGTAAATAATGAAATTAAGGCAGAAATCAACAAGTTTTTTGAAAATAATGGGAACAAAGATACAAAATACCAGAATCTCTGGGGCACAGCTAAGGCAATGTTAAGGGGGAAATTTATAGCACTAAATGCCCACATTAAAAAGTTAGATCTCAGCTGGGCACTGTGCCTCATGCCTGTAATTTCAGCACTTTGGGAGGCCAAGATGGGCAGATTACAAGGTCAGGAGATCAAGACCATCCTGGCTAACACGGTGAAACACTGTCTCTACTAAAAATACAAAAATTAGCCAGGCATGGTGGCACACACCTGTAGTCCCAGCTGCTCAGAAAGTTTAGGCAGGAGAATCACTAGAACCCAGGAGCCGGAGGTTGCAGTGAGCCAATATCATGCTGCTGCACTCCAGCCTAGGTGACGGAGTGAGACTCTGTCTCAAAAAAAAAAAAGTTAGATCTCAAATTAAAAACCTAACATCACAACTGAAAGAACTAGAGAAGCAAGAAGAAATCAACCCCAAAGCTAGCAGAATACAATAAATAACCAAAATCAGAGCTGAAGTGAAAGAAATCGAGACACACACACACACACACACACACACACACACACACAAAATTCAAAAGACAAACAGATCTAGGAGTTGGCTTTTTGAAAAAAGTAATAAGATAGACAAGCCTCTAGTTACACTAATAAGGAAAAAAATGGAGAAGACCCAAATAAACACAATCAGAAATGATGAAGGGAATGTTACTACTGATTCCACAGAAATTCAAACAACCATCAGAGACTACGATAAACACCTCTGTGCACACAAACTAGAAAGCCTAGAAGAGATGGATAAACTCTTGGACACATACACCAGCCCAAGACTGAGCCAGGAAGAAGTTGATTCCCTGAACAGACCAATAATGAGCTTTGAAGTTGAATCAGTAATAAATAGCCTACCAACCAAAAAAAAAAAAAAAAAAAGCCCAGTACATGATGGATTCATAGCCAAATTCTACCAGATGTACAAAGAATAGCTGGTACCACTCCTACAGAAACTATTCCAAAAAATTAAGGAGGAGGGACACCTCCCCAACTCATTGTATGAGGTCAGCATCATCTTGATACCAAAACCTGCCAGAGACACAACAAAAAAGGAAAACTTCAGGCCAATATACTTTATGAACTTTGATGCAAAAATCCTCAACAAAATACCTGTAAGCTGAATCCAGCAGGACATCAAAAAGCTAATCCACCATGGTCAATTCAGCTTTATTCCTGGGACGCAAGGTTGGTTCAACATACACAAATCAATAAATGTGATTTATCACAAAAACTGAACTAAAGACAAAAACCACATGATTAATAGACACAGAAAATGCTTTTGACAAAATGCAACATTCCTTCATGTTAAAAACTTTCAGTCAACTAGGTATTAAAGGAACACACATCAAAATAATAAGAGCCGTCTATGACAAACCCACAGTTAACATTGCTGAATTGGCAAAAGTTGGAAACATTCCTCTTAAAAACAAGCACAAGACAAGAACGCCCTCTCTTGCCACTTCTATTCAACATAGGATGAAGTCCTGGCCAGAGCAATAAGACAAGAGAAAGAAATAAAGAACATTTAAATAGGAAGAGAGGAAGTCAAACTATGTCTGTTTGCAGACAACATGATTCTATGTCTAGAAAACCCCATAGTCTTGGGCCAAAATCTCTTTGAGCTGATAAACAACTTCAGCAAAGCTGCAGCATACAAAAATCAATGTACAAAAGTCACTAGCATTCCTATACACCAACAAGATCCAAACAGAGAGTCAAGTCAGAAAGGTAATCCCATTCACAATTGCCACTAAAAGAATAAAATACCTAGGAATACAGCTAACCAGGGAGATAAAAGATCTCTACAACGAGAATTACAAAACACTGCTCAAATATATCAGAAAAGACACAAACAAATGAAAAAACATTCCATGCTCATGAAGAATTAATATTGTTTAAATGGCCATACTGCCCAAAGCAATTTACAGATTAAATGCTATTGCTATCAGACTACCAACAACATTCTCCACAGAACTAGAAATAAAGCTATTTTAAAATTGATGTACAGCCATAAAGGAGCCCGAATAGCAAAAGCAATCCTAAGCAAAAAGAACAAAGCTGGAGGCATCACATTACTCACTTCAAACTATACTACAGAGGTACAATCTCCAAAACAGCATAGTACTGGTACAAAAACAGGTACATAGATAAATGGAACAGATTAGAGAGCCCAGAAATAAGGTCACACATCTACAACCATCTGATCTTCAACAAAGATGACAAAAACAAGAAATGGAGAAAACACTCCCTATTTAACAAATGGTGCTGGGATAACTGGTTAGCCATGTGCAGAAGATTGAAACTGTTGAAACTGGACCTCTTGCTTACACAATATACAAAAATCAACTCAAGATGGATTAAAGACTTAAATGGAAAACCCAAAAGTATGAACACCCTGGAAGACAACTAGGCAATACCATTCTCGACATAGGACTGGGCAAAGATTTCATGGCCAAGACACCAAAAGCTATCGCAACAAAAGCAAAATTGACAAACAGTTATCTAAATAAGAGTTTCTGCACAGCAAAAGAGATATCGACAGAGTCACAGACAACCTACAGAATCAGAGACATTTTTGCAAACTATGCATCTGACAAAGGTTTAATATCCAGCATGTATAAAGAACTTAAACAAATGTACAAGAAAAATAAACTACCCCATTAAAAAGTGGGTAAAGGACATGAACAGACACTTTTCAAAAGAAGACATATATGCAGCCAACAAGCATATGAAAAAAAGCTCAACATCACTGATCATTAGAGAAATGCAAATCAAAACCACAATAAGATATTATCTCACACTGGTCAAGATGGCTACTATTAAAAAGTCAGAAAAATAACATGCTGGTGAGGTTGCTGAGAAAAGGGAATGCTTATACACTGTTGGTGGGAGTGTAAATTTGTTCAATCATTGTGGAAAGCAGTATGGCAATTTCTCATAGAGCTAAAAGCAGAACTACCATTCAACCCAGCAATCTCATTACTTATATGCCCAGAGGCATATAAATCATTCTACCATAAAGACACATGCACATGAATGTTCACTGCAGCTCTATTTACAATAGCAAAGACATGGAATCAACGTAAATGCCCATCAATGACAGATTTGATAAAGAAAATCTGATACATATACAACATGGAATACTATGCAGCCACAAAAAGAATAAGGTTTTGTCTTTTCCGGGAACATGGATGGAGCTGGAGGTTGTTAATCCTTAGCAAACTAATGCAGGAACAGAAAACCAAAAACCGCATGTTCTCACTTATAAGGGGAAGCTAAATGATACGAACTTATGAATGCAAAGAAGGAAACAGCAGACACTGGGTTCTACTTTAGGGTGGATAGTGGGAGTAGGGAGAGGTGCAGAAAAGATCACTATTGGGTAGTGGGCTTAATACCTGGGTGATGAAGTAATCTAGTTTAATTTACCTAGAAATGCTAGTTTACCTATATAACAAACTTTTGTATGTATCCCTGAACCTAAAATAAAAGTTGAAAAAAAAAAGAAAGAATGTACCTCAACACAATAAAGGCCATATGTGACAAGCCCACAGGTAACACCATACTCAATGTTGAAAAGCTGAAAGCATTTCCTGTATGATCAGGAACAAGACAAGAATGCTCAGTCTTGCCACTTTTACCATGGTGCTTGAAGTTCTAGCCAGGGCAATTAGGCAAGAAATAGAGATAAACGATAACCAAATTGGAAAGAAAGACATAAAATAACCTCTGTTTACAGATGACATGATGTTATACATAGAAAACCAAAGACTCCACTTGAAAAAAAAATACAGAAATCAGTTGTGTTTCTATCTACTAACAATTCACTCTACAAAAAAGAAATTAAAGAAACAATCCCATTTACATTAGCTACCCCCAAAATACTCAGGAATAAATTTAACCAAGGAGGTGAAAGACCTATATGCTGAAAACTATAAAATGTTGATAAAAGAAATTGAAGATGACACAAATAAACACAAATATATATATATATATATATATATATATATACACTATATGTGTGTGTGTGTGTGTTTGTGTGTGTAATGTTTATGGATTAAAGTAATATTGTTAAATGTCTTTACTACCCAAAGCAATCTATATAGTCGATGAAATTCTGTCAAAATTCTAATTCCATTTTTCACAAGAGTGAAAAAGAATCTAAAATCTATATGGAACCACAAAAGACCCTAAGTAGCCAAAGCAATCTTCAACTAAAAGAACAAAGCTGGGGCCCTCGCACTACTTAATTTCAAAATATGGTAATCAAAACAAAGCTATAGCAATCAAAACATACTATTATAATTAAAACAAAGCTATAGTAATCAAAAATTATGCTACTAGCATAAAAACGGACATAAAGACCAATGAACAGAATAATAAACCCAGAAATAAGCCTACACATTTATGGTCAGTTGAACATAGAATGTACAAAGACAAAAGGATAGTTTCTTCAATAATGGTGTTGGGAAAACTGGATATCCACATGCAGAAGAATGAAATTGGGCCATTATCTTAAAAAAATCAACTCGAAATGGATTAAATAGTTACATGGTAGGCCTAAAACTGTAAACTGCTAGAAGAAACATGGGGAAAATCTTGATCTGGGTGATGATTTTTTATGACACCAAAAGCATAGGCCACAAAAGCAAAAATAGACAAACGGGGTTATCTCAAACAAAACATATCCTGCATAGCAAAAGATACAATCAACAGTGTGAAGAGACAACCTATGGAATAGGAGAAAATATTTGTAAATCATACATCTCACAAGGGGTTAATATCCAAAATACACAAGGAACTTAAACAATTCAACAGCAATTAAACAAATAACCCAATTAAAAAATAGGCAAAGGACCTGAACAGACATTTCTCAAAATAAGACATACAAATATCTTTATGACAAGAATATGAAAAAAATGCCCAACATCAGTAATCATCAATGAAAGGCAAATCAAAACCACAATGAGATATTATCTCATACCTGTATATTACCAAAAAGACAAAAGATATCAAGTGTTGGCAAGAATGTGGAGAAAAAGTAACACTTGTACACTGTTGGTGGGAATGTAAATTGGTACAGCCATTATGGAAAACAGGATGGAAGCTCCCCCAAAAATTAAAAATAAGAACTACCATATAATCCAGCAAGCTTCTGGGTATATATCTGTTATATTCTGATTGTTTATGTTCCCACAAAATTGATATGTTTAATGTGATGATAAATTTTCATGCTTAGTGTGATGATAACAGGAGATGGGGCACTTGGAATGTAACTAGCTCATGGGGGTAGTGACCTCATAAATGTGATTAATGCCCTTATATAAGAGGCTCAATAGGAAGTTTAAAAAAATAAAATAACAAAACAAAACAAATACAAATAACAAAAAACAAAATAACAAAAAACAGATAACAAATAACAAAAACAAAAACAAAAATAAAAGAGGCTCAAGAGAAGACCCTTGTCCCTTTCACCATGTGAGGTTATAGTGAAAAGATAGATGTCTATGAGGAAATGGGCCTTTACTAGACGCTGAATCTGCCAGTGCTTTGGACTTCTCAGCCTCCAGAACTGTAGGAAATAAATTTCTGTTGCTTATAGGCCATGCAACTTATAGAATTTTGTAATAGCACTCCAAACTAAGAAAGAATATTGGTATCAAGAACTGAAGGTGCTGCTGTAGTAAATACCTAACATGTGCAAGCAGTTTTGGAACTGGGTAATAAGTATAGGCTGGAAGTGAGAGCTTTGTGCTAGAAAAATCCTGCATTGCTGTGAATGGACCATTAAAGATGATTCTGCTGAAGTTCAGAAATCCTCAATTTTCTTAGTGAATACCTAAGTAGATATACCAATAACTTAGGTTATTGGTAGAAATATGGCTAGTAAAGACCATTCTGATGAGGTCTCACCAGTGAGAAATGAAGAATGTGTTGTTGGACAATGAAAGAACAGAAATCCTTATTATAAAGTGGCAAAGAACTTGGCTGTGTTGTGTTCTTGTTCCAGTGTTTTGTGGAAGGTAGAATTTGTGAGTAATGAATTGGATATCTGGAAGAGGAAATTTATAAGCAAAGTGTTGAAGGTACAGTGTGGCTTCTCTTCACTGCCTATAGTAAAATGTGAGAAGAGAGAAATAAAAATGGATTTGTTAATTAAAGGGAAGTAGAACTTAAACATTTAGAAAATTCTTAGTCTATCCATATTGGAAAAAGATAAGAAAGCTTTTTCAGAAGAGAAAATGATGTGGCCTATTGATCATTTGATAAAGAAAATTAGTATGGATCAGCCGTCTCAATGGAAGTCATGTGCTATTGATCAAGGCAGTGAGCCATCTAAACAGAAGCAAGGACCTATTGTCCAGGACAATGGAAAAATGACCCCAAAGGCATTTCAGAAATCAGTAGGGCTGACTGCCATCACAGAATGCTAGGGCCCAGGGGATCAGAACAATTTCAAAGGAGGGGCCACTGCTGCTCAGCATTACCTCACATTGTGGACTCTGCTCCCCACACTCTGTTGCCATGCTGCTCGGCTCCCCTAGGTGCAGCTCTAGCAGGCTCTGGTGTGGTGTGTGCTGAGCTCAGCAAAGCTGTGGGGACAGGCAAAACTTTGGAGGCTGGACAACCATCAAAAAGGGTCCAAAAGGCCGGACCTCCAGATCAGTGGGCCTTGAGAGCATCAAGCCAAAAAAGATTATTCTTGAGCCATAGGGTTTTGGACTTGCTTGGTAACTGTCACTCCTTTCTTCATTTCTATTTTTCCCTTTCAGACATTTTCTTGAAAACAGTGAGCCTTTGCTTTAGGGAAAATAGTGGTAGTATTTATGGTCAATGATAAAGTTCCTAGATTTTAAGCAAAAATTTTAGACAGCTTGTATCAGCTGCTGTAAGTATATAATGAAATCTGTCATTATTTGATTATCTGCATAACTGAGTCAGTATTTCCAAATGATCAATGCATAGTTGTTGCGGGAAGTCAGGGACCCCAAACGGAGGGACCGGCTGAAGCCATGGCTGAAGAACATGGATTGTGAAGATTTTATGGACACTTATTACTTCCCCAAATTAATACTTTTATAATTTCTTATGCCTGTCTTTACTGCCATCTCTAAATGTAAGTTGTGAAGATTTCATGGACACTTATCACTACCCCAATCAATACCCTTGTGATTTCCTATGCCTGTCTTTACTGCAATCTCTTAATCCTGTCAGCCGAGGAGGATGTATGTTGCCTCAGGACCCTGTAATAATTGCATTAACTACACAAATTGTACAGCAGGAGTGTTTGAGCAATATGAAATCTGAGCACCTTGAAAAAAGAACAGGATAACAGCAATTGTTCAGGGAATAAGAGAGATAACCTTAAACTCTGACCGCCGGTGAGCCAGGTGGAACAGAGCCATATTTCTCTTCTTTCAAAAGCAAATGGGAGAAATATCACTGAATTCTTTTCCTCAGCATGGAACATCCCTGAGAAAGAGAATGCGCACCTGGGAGTGGGTCTCTGAACTGGCTCCCCAGGGGGCGTGGTCGTCTCTTATGGTCAAGGCTGCAGAGATGAAATAAACTCCAGTCTCCCATAGCGCTGCCAGGCTTACTAGGAAGAGGAAATTCCCGCCTAATAAATTTTAGTCAGACCAGTTGATCTCAAAACCCTGTCTCCTGATAAGATGTTATCAATGACAATGGAACCCAAAACTTCATTAGCAATTTTAATTTTGCCTCAGTCCTGTGGTCCTGTGATCTCACCCTGCCTCCGCTTGCCTTGTGATATTCTATTACTCTGTTAAGTACTTGATGTCTGTCACCCCCACCTATTTGCACACTCCCTCCCCTTTTGAAAATCCCTAATAAAAACTTGCTGGTTTTTGTGGCTTGTGGGGAATCACGGATCCTACCAACGTGTGATGTCTCCCCCGGATGTCCAGCTTTAAAATTTCTCTCTTTTGTACTCTGTCCCTTTATTTCTCAAGCCAGCCGACGCTTAGGAAATATAGAAAAGAACCTACGTGATTATCGGGGCAGGTTCCCCGATACATAGTATTATAAAAATCATACATGGGTAAGAAATCTTGCCAGGCACAGTGGCTCACGCCTGTAATCCCGGCACTTTGGGAGGCCGAGGTGGGCGGATTACGAGGTCAGGAGATCCAGACCATCCTGGCCAACACGGTGAAACCCCGTCTCTACTAAAAATACAAAAAATTAGCAGGGCGCAGTGGCGGGCGCCTGTAGTCCCAGCTACTCGGGAGGCTGAGGCAGGAGAATGGCGTGAACCCGGGAGGCAGAGCTTGCAGTGAGCCGAGATCGCGCCACTGCACTCTGACCTGGGCAAAAGAGCAAGACTCCGTCTCAAAAAAAAAAAAAAAAAAAAAAAAAGAAATCTTGATCTTGGGAGGGTGTGTGTGTCGAGGAATTTATCCATTTCTTCTAGATTTTCCAGTTTATTTGCATAGAGGTGTTTATAGTATTCTCTGATGGTAGTTTGTATTTCTGTGGGATCGGTGGTGATATCCCCTTTATCATTTTTTATTGCATCTATTTGATTCTTGTCCCACCATTGTATGTTTGACGCTCATAATATACTTGATTTCACTGATTCACAACTGGTAAGCAATTTGCCTCAGAATGAATTGTACCTTAAGTCTCACCCATATCTGATTTAGATGATAATTAGATGAGACTTTGGAGTTACATTTTAAAATTGATGTTGGAACAAGATTTTTGAGGCTACTGGGATGAAAGTAATGTATTTTGCATGTGATAAGGGCATACATTTTGGGGAGCCAGGAACAGAATGTTATGGTCTAAATGATTATGTCCCCCCAAAATTCATATGTTGAAATCCTCACCCCCAATGTGATGGTATAAGGAGGTAGGCCCTAGGGAAGTGATTAGGTCATGGGGGCAGAAGCTCCAGAAATGAAATTAATGCCCTCATAAAAGAGGCTGAAGAGAGACCCCTGAATATACACATTCCACTGAATATATATATATATATATTCCAGTGGATAAAGATATATTTCATTTCCTTTAGGTATTAGTCCATTTGGGCTGCTATAAAAATACCATAAACTAGGTGGCTTATAAACGACTACATATATATTCCACTGAAATATATTTTTATCCATTGTGAATAATGCTGCAATGAGCATTATTATAGAAATATCTGCACTCCCAGGCTCACTGCAACATTATTCACAATAGCCAAGATATGGAAATAACCCAAGTGCGTCCATGGACAGATGAATGAATAAAGAAAATGCAGTGCATTATTAACATTCCATTAATAAAGGAACATTATTCAACCTTGAAAAAGAAGTAAATCTTGTCGTTTGCAACAATATCGATGAACCCAGAGGACAGTATGCTAAGTAAAGTAAGCTAAGCACAGAAAGACAGGCACTGCTTGATCTCACTTACATGTGGAATTTGATAAAGTAGAATGCACAGAAGCAAAGAATAGAATGTTGATTGCCAGGGACTGGGTGTTGGGGGAAATGGGGAAATGTTGGTCAAAGGGTACAAAACTTTAGTTATGCAGGATGAATAACCTCCTCTGGAGATCTAACATACAGCATGATGACTATACTTAATAATACTGTATTGCATTTTTGCAATTTGCTAAGAGAGTAGACCTTAAATGTTCTCACCACACCAAAGAAAATAGTAACCGAGAGGTGCTAGATGTGTTAATTACCTTTATTTCATTATTTCACAATGTGTGTATATATATATATATATTTAAAAATCACATTATATACATTAAACATATTTTATTTTTATTTATCAATGATACCTTAATAAAGCTAAGGGGAAGGAGGTATTTCTCTAACTATCTTTGCAAAATACAATTCATCCATTAACAAATCACAGTAAATTAGGAAGAATAAAACTTACATTTCGACAAAAACCTATGCCATATTTCTGAAAGCATCTTCCAAATCCTATTAAAAACATCTTTAAATATATTTCTCTCAGCTTCTTCCCTTATATTTTTTATTTTTTCATCATATTTTAATTTTAGTAATTTAATTTCTTTCTCCTTTTCTTCCTCTGATTTATGCTTATCCTCTTCTACTAGTTTAATTTCTTCATTTAATTGGTCAGTGTAGATTTTCCTCAAAACCTCTTCCCGTTGTTTCAGCCTTTCCTCTGTGTCCTTGTATATGTCATCAGAAAAGTAAGCCCCTTCGTTGCACTGCACCATTTTCTCTATCAGCTCCACCAACTCCTGCACTTGACTTTCCTTCTCTGCCTTACTGGTTTTCTTGCTGTTGCTAAAGGCACAGCAGCGGTTCCCGCACTCCTTGACGATGCTTTTTAGGCCCACATCCGCATCTGCTATGAAGTCATGGAAGCTCTGGCCCTCCAACTCTTCTTTGCGAGTGAACAAGATGACCATGTGCTTCATGGCTGACTTCCCAAAGACAGCCTTGATCAATGCAACGGTTTTCTGCTCCTCCTCTGTGTAGCGGCCCAGCAGCAGAACTAGGACAATAGCATGGGGCCCTGGGCAGGAGGAGATGATGCAGCGGCTGATTTCCTTGCAGGTGGTGTCCAGG
This sequence comes from Homo sapiens, assembly GCF_000001405.40. Taxonomy (NCBI): domain Eukaryota; kingdom Metazoa; phylum Chordata; class Mammalia; order Primates; family Hominidae; genus Homo; species Homo sapiens. Next base: position 150,520,192 of record NC_000007.14, on the reverse strand, counting down.
CTCTCCTTGGTGTCAAAGAGCCCTGGAGTGTCTACAACAAGAAGGTCTCTCCCCTGCCATTCCCGGGATGCTTTTTGACAGTTCTTGGTAACAGCTTGGGCAGCAATTCTAGAATCAAAGATTTCCTCTCCAAGGATGGTGTTCGCTGTTGCACTTTTCCCACTTCCAGTTTTCCCTACCAGAACGATCCTCAGGGAGCGGTCCTCACTCTCAGCCATGCTCACGTCAGGAGGCTCTAGAACTTAGGCACGTACAAGACCTTAAGGAGGGGAAGATAGGGGAAAAAAAGCCAGTTTTAGTAAGTGAGATCCATTCCCAACCTTCTTTTCTGCTTTCTCTTTCTTCCTGAAAATTTGTAATATCCTATTATCCATATTAATCACAGTAAAGACAGAAATGAAATAGTCCGATTAATATGGAAGAAATAATAGAGAAAGCAGTTAAAGAGTTTCCCCACAAAGTAGTACCAGGTATAGATGGTTTCACAGGTGAATTCTATTAAACCTTTTAAGATCTGATGATCTCAAAGCTACCTAAAACTGCTCCTGGCCATATAAAAAGAAGGAAAAAGTTACTTTTTTTTTCTATGAAGCAAGTATATTGATTCCAAAGGCTGACAAATATTTCATCAATAAAGAAAACTAAAGATGTGTCTCATTTGTGAATACTAATATACAAATCCTAAATAAATTATTAGACACTAATAAATAATAGACTGTGATTAAGTGTGATTTATTTCAGAAATACTATGGTGGGTCAATATGAGAATGTTGATTGTTACAACACATCCCGTTAATAGGTTAAGAAGAAAATTAGCTAGATGCAGGAAAGATATTTGGCCAAATTTAACACTGATTCATGTTTACGGTAGTTTGTAGAACAGAAAAAATATCTATTTCTTTAACATGATTTTATACAAATATAATTTTTTCAATTTTGTCATCTTTTTTTCTGGAACTAAAATAGTTGATTATAAAGTTCATTCAGATGAAGGAAAATGCAAGTTAGCCTAGACAATCAAGGAAAAGAAGAACAGGGGAAGACTAGCTCTACCAGACAATTAAATATTATAATCTCTATAATTAAAGCAGTGTGATATTGGTGAGTGAATAGAGACAGGCCATGAAACAGAAACAGAGAATTCACAAATAGGCCATTGCTCATTTTATGTTCATTTATATTCCATTCAATTACATTAACTTACATT